>NC_000014.9:75066258-75217773 GCF_000001405.40 Homo sapiens
GATCAGAAGCATTTAGTAATTAGCTTGATTTAATCACTGCACAATGCATACATTATCAAAACATCACTTTGTACACTGCAAATATAGATATAATTTTTGCTTGTCAATTATATTTTAATAAAGCTGGGGGGGGGTGGAGAAATATTTAGACTGATTATTTTGCCTGCAGCATGAAGGATGGGTTTGAAGAGCAGATATTGAAGGCAAGAGCAGAAGTTAGGAGGGCTATGCCATCCCAAGGAGAAGTGAGGAAAAACTCACCTGGGGCAGCAGAAATGTAAAGGAAGAGTCATATATGAGAGACATTGCAGAAGTAAACTCAATAGGCCAGGCGTGATGGCTCACGTTTGTAATCCCAGCACTTTGGGAGGCTAAGGCAGGTGGATCACCTGAGGTCAGGAGTTTGAGACTGATGAAACCCCATCTCTACTAAAAATACAGAAATTAGTTGGGCGTGGTGGTGCACACCTGTACTTCCAGCTACTAGGGAGGCCAAGGCAGGAGGATTGCTTGAACCTGAGAGGCAGAGGTTGCAGTGAGCTGAGATCGCGCCACTCCACCCCCATCTGGATGACAGAGCAAGACTGTCTCAAAGAAAAAAAGGAAGAAAACTCAATAAAACTTGTGATTAGTTAGAAGGAAGAGGCAACAAAGAGGGAAGCATGGAAGACTGATGCTGTGAGCATGCAAGGGCACACTGGAGAGGCAGATTTGAGAATGGGAGAGGATCAGAGTTTATGTTGTCTTACAGAATTTGAGGTTCCTAAGGAACAATCTTGTGGAGGTGTCAAATGGGCAGTCCTGAAATTTGAGTCTGTAACTAATGAGAAAGACTAAAGCTAAGCTGGCTGTCATTTAAACACAGGTGAAACCTGAAATTTCAGCATTTGGTTGAAATCATTAAAGAAGAGAATGTCTGGAACTACACACACACACACACACACACACACACACACACACACACACACATATATATGAAATAAGAGGGCTTCAGAAAACACTTAAATTTAGGGAGTAGATGGGGAAAAGATAAATGCCAGACTTGGAAGAAGATGGAGCAAGAACATGAAAGAAGAAACCAAGAGGGCACAGGAGAACTGAGAAGAGCATTCTAAGTGGGTGGATAATCAGTAATGTCACATGAGTAGGCTGAAAAAATGAAGCTTTTGTCTTTGGAAAGTCACTGGTAGCTTTGTAGTTAAATAAAGTGGAGAAAGTAGAAGACAGGCCACAATGAACTGGACAATGACGGGGAGATGAGGATATGTGGGCAGCAAATGTGGAGATTTCCATTAAGAAGTCTTGTGGAGAAGAGGAGAAATGAATGGGACTGTAATATGAAAGTTAGGTCAAGGGAAGTAAGGTTTGTTTTGCAGGGGAAAGTTGAGTATATGTTAAAACCAAAGAGACAGAGTTTATGGAGAGGTATAACTTGAAGTTAACAAGATGCAGACAGGGTGCCGTCTCTCACGTCTATAATCTCAGTACTTTGTGAGACTGAGGCGGGAGGATCTCTTTTGACTCCAGGGGTTTGAGACCAGCCTGGGTAACAAAGGGAGACCCTGTCTCTACAGAAAAAAAAAAAAGAAGTAAGCTGGGTGTGGGGGGCACACACCTGTAGTCCCAGCTACTCGGGAGGCTGAGGTGGGAGGATCACTTGAGCTGTGGAAGTTGAGGCTCCAGTGAGCAGTGATTGTGCCACTGCACTTCAGCCTGGGCAACAGAGTGAGGCCCTGTCTCAAAAACAAAGGCCAGGCCCGGTGGCTCATGCTTGTAATCCCAGCACTTTGGGAGGCTGAGACAGGCGGATCACCTGGGGTCAGGAGTTCAAGACCAGCCTGGCCAACATGGTGAAACTCTGTCTCTACTAAAAATACAAAAAATTAGCCAGGTGTAGTGGCAGACGCCTGTAATCTCAGCTACTCGGGAGGCTGAGGCAGGAGAATCACTTGAACCCAGGAGGCAGAGGTGGCAGTGAGCTAAGAGTGCGCCACTGCACTTCAGCCTGGGCAACAAAACAGGGCGAGATTCCGTCTCAAAAAACAAAAAACAAACAACTTTAAAAAACCCCAAAAACCAACAAAACAGAAAACAAAACAAAACAAAAATGCAGGGGTAAAGTGATGGAGTCAATTCCCGGAGGGTACTGAAAAGGACTAATTCAAGAGAACTCAATGGAACTCAATGGAAAGTCGCCCTTCTTTCTCATAGAGGAGAGGGAAGGAGAGAGAGAGAGGAGAGAGGGAGACAGACAGAGACAGAAACAGAGGAGAGAGGGAGAGGAGGAAGAAGAGAGAGAGACAGAGAGAGAGAGAAAGAGAAAAAGAAAGCCGGTAAATTCTGCTGAGGGAAGCTGTGGGAGTTGATAATCGGGACCCTGAGTGGAGTGGGAAACGTCTGGAGCTGCATATACGGAGAGGCGGTAGAGTCAACTAGGGATGAAAACGAGGAATTAAAAAAAAAAAAAAGACTGATCTGGAGGGTCCACCAAGGAATTTCCTTGTAACGGGTAACAGCTGTAATATGACATGTTGAAGTATTAACACTGATGACTGCTGTCTACATTATTTTCCATGTGCATGAATTGAGTAGTTACAGGGAAAAAGCGAACTGCCTGTTCCAAACGGCTTACACAGATGAACTGAAGCGAAGAAGAAAAATGAACTTTCTTTTGATGTCAACAAGATAGAGTATCATTTACTGTTGAAGCCAGGTTATACTGATTATTTTCGATCTGGTAGTTAACTTTATCATCATTACATTTGGCTGAGTCATTCCTGGGCCCTAAGTAGAGACGGCTAGAATTACCACGTGAGTAAAACATTATAATATCAAAATAATTAGATTGGCCACAAAAACTACCACGGAAAGATACTGCGTAGCAAAAACGTTGGCAGCAAGTTCCAAAGCCTTGGCGAGGACAAGCAAGGAGCGCGCGCGTGCAGCCATACCTGGGGCCCGCCCAGCGCAGCCGAGCGCGCGGAGAAAGGCCAGCAGCAGCCCCGCTCCCGCCAGGCGGGCGGACGCCGGCATCCTGCGGCGGAAGCACGCGGAGGCACAGCCAGGGCCTCCGCCCTTTGCCAGACAAGGGCACACCCCAAGGTCTGGGAGCGTCGTTCTCAGAAAAGTACAAGTTCTTCTTTGAAGGAGCTCCAGAAAAGCCTCTCCCGCCCCTCCCCGGCTCCCCAAGGGCAGGGCTGGACCGAGCTGCAGAGTTGGCCGGACACTGACTGGGTCAAGTGACCTTGGGCTGACCGCACCCCCACCCCCGGTCGCCCCGGGTCGCTGGTGCACTGCGCCTGCGCGCGTCTCCCCGAGGAGTTCGCGGCGAGGGGCGGAGCTTGGCGCGCCAGTGCCTCGGTTTCCAGGCACCGGGAATAACAGAAGCCAGCTGAGAGCGCCTGCGCGGCTGTCGGTTGATGGGGAGGTCAGGTCTGGGAAACTAGGCCCTGGGGTTTTCCCTGAGCAGGAGCGGTGCCCGAGGGCCTCAGGTACGCAGAAGGGCGGGGAGACATGGGATCAGCACCTCCACCTCCTAAGGGACCGAAGGGCAGGAGAGCGAGAGGACTTGTCCCCAGAGGTGGAGTCCGAAGTGGGGGCGCCCCAGTTGACCCTTCGGGACAAAACGTGACTTCAGCCTTAAGGATCTAAAACCGGCCGCGGTCAGGTCAGGTGGCCCTCAACGCTCAGGTTACAAAACTTTTACAGTCTGCGCCACGGGGACTCCTGGGATGAGGGTTTGACAGCCAGGCACCTGCTCCAGGCCCTAGCAGCTTTTGTGCTCTTTGGAATCAAGCACGGTTCCAGCAGGAGGGAAGCCCTGAGAGTTCTTTGTGCCAGTCACTACCTCTGGGCCACAGCTTTCTCACCTGTAAAATGGTGAGGCTGGACTCTGCGGGAACCCTTCAGTTTACAGGGGAAGAAACGGGGGCCAGCAAGGGAGAAGTCGCTTGTCCTGTTACAGGCCTAGAACCTGACTTTCTAGTCAGGTGCTCTTTCCACCTACTATAGAGTATACTGTGCGTGGCAGAGGCTGGTGCTGGAGGAAAGGAAAGCTAGGTGGCAGGAACACCTGTAGCACCTTCGTTTTTCTACCCTCAGGGCCTAACACAGTGTCTTGTGCATAATCACTCACCAAATGGTTTTTGAAGGGAAGCTTTGGCAGGTCCAGCAACACTGTCCCCAGAAAAGTTTAAGGGAATGTGGGCAGGGCAAATGTAGAAATAGTTTGCTTTAGCAGCCGAGAGTGAACCTCAGACAAACTCTTCCCGTGTATCTGGTTTAAATCTCCCGTAGGCGTCAGTCCAGGCCCTGAATGGCTGGTCTCCAGCGGTTGGCGTCACATCTGCCTGTGGGCGTTATGCTCCCACATAATACAACGGAAGCTCCAGGGCCCCACTCAGCCAAGCAAGACTCTTACGAACAAGGTGACTCTTCCCAGCAGTCCTTGAAGGGGCACCTGAGGAACAATTTCCAGAAGCAGCTTTTGAGCAACAAAGAGTTGATTCTGGATAAAGTCTATACTCACCCCAAATGGAACACCCAAACAAAAGCCCGGAGCTACTCCTATCCCCACTGTACTGGAATCAGCCAGCAAGATCCAGAAAGTGATTCCCAGGGCCAAGGAAATGGTTTGTTTTACTCGTCAGGCCCTCAATCCTGGTATCCCAAAGCCAATAACCAGGACTTTATCCCCTTTACAAAGAAACGAGTTGGAGTGGACCGGGCGTTCCCATTGAAACCCATGGTCCACAGGAAGTCGTGCAGTACAGGTGAGGCTGGCACTGATGGGGACCATAATGTCTACCCAAGGCCCCCTGAGCCGAGAGAGTTTTCATCTAGGAACTTTGGTGTGAGGAACCAGGGCAACTTTTCTGTGGTTGGTACTGTTCTTGCTGCCACGCAGGCGGAGAAGGCCGTGGCAAACTTTGACAGGACGGAGTGGGTGCAGATCCGAAGACTAGAAGCTGCAGGGGAGAGCTTAGAGGAGGAAATCCGAAGAAAGCAGATTCTCCTGAGGGGAAAGCTGAAGAAGACAGAGGAGGAACTCAGAAGGATCCAGACGCAAAAGGAACAGGCCAAGGAAAATGAAAACGGAGAGCTACAGAAAATTATACTCCCCAGGAGCAGAGTTAAAGGTAATAAAAGCAACACCATGTACAAACCTATCTTCTCCCCAGAATTTGAGTTTGAGGAAGAATTTAGTAGAGACAGGAGAGAGGATGAAACTTGGGGACGGTCTCAACAAAATTCAGGTCCATTCCAGTTCTCTGATTATAGAATCCAGAGGCTCAAAAGGGAAAGGCTGGTAGCAAGCAATAATAAAATTCGAGACCCAGTCTCAGAGCCATCGGTGGAGAAATTCTCCCCGCCTTCAGAAACACCAGTCGGTGCTTTGCAGGGATCCGCCAGAAATTCCAGCCTGTCCATGGCACCAGACTCCTCAGGTTCCAGCGGCTCCATTGAAGAGCCACAGCTGGGTGAGTGCAGCCACTGTGGGCGCAAATTCCTCTCGTTCAGGCTGGAGAGACACTCCAACATCTGCAGCAGGATGCGGGGTTCCAAGAGGAAAGTGTTTGACTCCTCCAGGGCCCGGGCTAAGGGCACAGAACTAGAGCAGTACTTGAACTGGAAGGGGCCAGCTTCAGCCAAGGTAACAAGAGCCTTATGGATGTGACTTGGTGTGGTGATCATTGTAGGGGTCTGTTTTGTCATCATCAGTTTTCTTTAGGGAAAATTCATGTGTCATGTAGGAAGAATTGACGTCTAGAATTAACATTTCTTGATTACTACTGTATGCCAGCATTGTGACGGGAGCTTTTCATGTGATCTCCACATTATCTCTCATTGTATCAGTTCAAAAATCAAGACTTGGACAGGCTAAGTAACTTGCTTGAGGTCACAAACAGCTTTAAGTGGCAGAGTCGGCATATAAATCTTGGTTGGAATGACTAAAAAATCTAGACATAGAATTTGTGTCCTTTGGATTATAAAAGTAATAAAAGTTTACTGTAGAAAATTTAAAAGACACAAAAAATCTAAAGAAAAAAATGCAGCCTTTTGTCACCTGGAGAGAACTCCTCACTCTTTGCAATGTATTCTGCCACTTCCCAAGACTAGGATCTGTGACCATTCCTTTAACTATTCACTCTTTTAAGGTTAGCTCAGTGTTAACATAGCTTCTTAGTAAATAGATGAAACACAATTAAGTTTGGAATTCTTTTTCTGCCCATTTAGAATGTAAACACCTTGAAGGTAAAAAGGACTTTCTTTCTGGTTATCTTACAAACCATGCCCTTGCCAATTATTTCTCACTTTAGAAAAACCAGGTTGGAAAAAGTAAGGGTTTCGTGACACTTACATGATAAATTTAGGTGAACTTCATAGGCACATTTGGACATATCTGGAGAAGATTGTCTCATAAATGAATGACATGTCAAGGTTGTGCCACTTGGTTTATAAAATGGTTATTTCTCAAGGTGTGGCATGCTGACAAACTTTATTTTAGTAGTTTTAGTGTTTAGTGTTGTATTAGAAAAATTGATTCGTCGTTTAGTGTTATATTAGGAAAATATAACAATATATTAAGCCCCTGATTTCCAGGGATCATGAATTTACAGAAAAATATTAATTAGTTGTAAGGATGAAGTGAAAGTGCAGATGATTGAAGTTTGGGAAAGCGTAGATCATATGATCTCAGAGGCCCCATCTAGTTCTAATATTCCAGAAGAATAAGAGAGTGTCATTCTGTTTTCATTTCTTCCCAACCCTCCCTCCGCTGTGCTGGCACCTCTTGTCCATTGGCACTTTACAGTTTCTGTGTATTTGCTGGAGCCTTTAAAAACTCACATTTATATGATGGTTGTTAGAAGAAATTGTTTACAATTAGAGTTCTTTCTTTTAGTAGTTTGGAGAAATCACAAGGAAGTCCCATCCATGTTCAGAGATCATCTCCCTGAAATCTAGTTTCCAAAGAAGAAATCAGCATTTTGCTCTTGCAGATAATAATATGATCACCACTTACTGTTTTTTCCTGTTTTCTTTCAGTTCAACCCAGTAATCCACTGGGAATTCACTCTATGTCCCACTGTAGCGATTTATTTTTGGCCAGAGCCTAAAAGAATCTTGTGTTTCTTAAATTCGTAAATACAGTTACGGTGAAGCAAAATAATTAGGTTCCTGAGATCAGATGCTCCAGCTTTATGGCAACTAGTTTGTGGGAATGTGTGACATTGAGGACACCAAGACAGAAGGGACCTAGACTAAGATGCACCTGCACCACCCTGGTAATGTCTCAAATCTTATTCCACAGTGCTGTGCCTTTGGAAGCTGAGTGGTTGTACCTTCCTGTCATTCCTCTAGAGTACTCAAGAACAGGTGATTTTCCTGGTATCCTTTAATCTTCACGTAACTCCCAGCAGACGTACACCCTGTCTCTCTCCTGGACTGTAAGCATTTTTGAGGACAGGGAACATATTTTGTGCTTTGTGCTTAATAAGTGTTAACTGAATAGAATTTCAGTACAATGAGGAATAAAATTATAGGAATTAGAGTATAAGAAGTAAATTACTAAAGGATCTCATATACTTGAGGAACTTTCCCCTGATCAAATTCTTTGAGAGGAACTTTCCCCTGATCAAATTCTTTTTTTGAGACCGAGTCTCGCCCTGTTGCCCAGGCTGGAGTGCAGTGACGCGATCTCGGCTCACTGCAGCGATCTTGGCTCACTGCAGCCTCCACCTACCGGGTTCAAGCAATTCTCTGCCTCAGTCTCCTGAGTAGCTGGGATTACAGGTGCCCGCCACCACACCCAGCTAATTTTTGTATGTTTAGTAGAGACGGGGTTTCACCATCTTGCCCAGGCTGGTCTTGAACTCCTGACCTTGTGATCCACACGCCTCAGCCTCCCAAAATGTTGGGATTACATGCATGAGCCACCGTGCCTGGTCTTCGAATTCTTTTAAAGGTTCCTGGATACCATCGCTAATACTCTCTTGCCTTCTTGTCTGTTTTGGCAAGAGACTTTCTGGAAGGATCCTTTCTTTTCCTTTGATAGTATCTCTTCCTATTATTCATCATTAACAATGCCAGATCACCAAGAGCTAGTTGTCTTTTTTCTCTTTAAAAAATTTAATAGTGTTTGCATGCATTTAAAAAACATGTAGTACTGAATGACCTATAATGGAACCCCTAATTCAGCCCCCGGAGGCAGCCTTCAGTTCTGTTAGATGGTTCTTCTGGTCTGCCTTTCCATATTTCCAAATAATATGCTTATTTTCTTGATTTATCAATTTTCTACATTACCTGTTTTTTTTTGTTTTGTTTTGTTTTTTTTGAGACGGAGTCTCTGTCGCCCAGGCTGGAGTGCAGTGGCTTGATCTTGGCTTACTGCAACCTTCACCTCCCGTGTTCAAGCAATTATTGTGCCTCAGCCTCCTGAGTAGCTGGGCTTACAGGCGAGTGCCACCACGCCCGGCTAATTTTTGTATTTTTAGTTAAGACAGGGTTTCACCAAGTTGGCCAAGTTGGTCCTGAACTCCTAACCTCAAGTCATCTGCCCACCTCGGCCTCCCAGAGTGCTGGGATTACAGGCGTGAGCCACGGTGCCTGTTCTACCTGGTAACTTCTTATGGAAGCTGGGAGTGAAGTTCTCTTTCATATTCCCTCTCTCCTACTGTTCTCTTTCTCTTATCCTTCCACTGTAGTCGAATCACAATTTTTGGTTAAAAGTAGTTAGCTTTCACATTGTAATGATCAAGTAAATTTTGTTCATTAATGAGTGAACAAATTCTGTCTCTGCCCACATGTACCTAAAATTAATAATGGACGTATGTTTTCATTTCCTTCATTTTCTACATACCTGTCTTTTTCTCCCCCGCAACGATCCATCTGATATCAGACATCTGTTAACGTTTTTGTAATGCTCAAACACCTCTCATAATCTATCAGTTTGATTTTTTAATTCTGAAAACCTCCCTTCAGCCACTCTGATCCCTTCTGCTCCAACCTGGACTGGGTATTCTCTAGGCCTGGTGCAAACTCATTCTCTTGGAACTTCTCTTTGCTTCTCTTCTTTGTTGGGTCCTCTGTTTCCAGCATCCTGTGTCTTCCTTTTTCTTGCATTACTCCTTCCTTTGCTGAAGCTTACTAAGAAGGGTGCATAGCAGGTATATTGTCTTGGAATGAATGACACTATCTATATGACAGGCTCCCATTTGATGATTTGGCTAGGTACAGAATTCTAGGAGGAAAATGATTATCTGTTAGAACTTTTAAAGTATTTCCCACTAGCTTTTAGCATCCAGTGTATTGTTGTGAAATCTAATGCCATTTTGATTCCTGTTCCATTACAAGAAACCTTTTTTTTTAAAAGGCTACGGGATTCTCTATTTATTTTGAAATTCTGAAACTTTACAATAATTGTGCTAGATACTTGGTAAGCCATTTCAATCTCAAAATGTGTGACCTTTAATTCTAGGAATGTTAATTGTATTATTTCCTTAATAATTTTCTCCTCACCAGGTGCTGTGGCTCACGCCTATAATCCCAGTACTTTGGGAGGCTGAGGCAGGTGGATCACCTGATCTCATGTGTTCAAGACCAGCCTGACCAATATGGTGAAACCCCATCTCTACTAAAAATACAAAAATTAGCCGGGCGTGGTGGCGCACGCCTGTAGTCTCAGCTACTTGGGAGGCTGAGATAGGAGAATCGCTTGAATCTAGGAGGCTGACGTTGCAGTCAACCAAGATTGCGCCACTGCACTCCAGCCTGGGTGACAAAGCAAGACTCCATCTCAAATA
This sequence comes from Homo sapiens, assembly GCF_000001405.40. Classification (NCBI taxonomy): domain Eukaryota; kingdom Metazoa; phylum Chordata; class Mammalia; order Primates; family Hominidae; genus Homo; species Homo sapiens. Next base: position 75,076,062 of record NC_000014.9, read on the forward strand.
ACAACAACAACAAAAACAAAACAAAACAAAACAACAATAATTTTCTCCTCGTGCTTTCTCTGTTCCTTCTGCAACTCTTATTGGTCACATGTTGGACTTCCAGGATTAACTTTCTAATTTTCTAATCTTTTCTTTTTACTTTCCATCTTGATCTTTTTTCCCATTCTGAGAAATTTTCTTGACATTAGTTTACAACATTTCTATTTATTTATTTATTTATTTTTTGAGACAGGGTCTTGCTCTGTCGCCCAGGCTGGAGTGCAGTGGCATGATCTTGGCTCACTGCAACCTCTGCCTCCTAGGTTCAAGCAATTCTCCTGCCTCAGCCTCCTGAATAGCTGGGACTACAGGCGTGTGCCACCACGCCCAGCTAATTTTGTGTATTTTTAGTAGAGATGGGATTTCACCGTCTTAGCCAGGATGGTCTTGATTTCCTGACCTTGTGATCTCCCCACGTTGGCCTCCCAAAGTGCTGGGATTACAGGCGTGAGCCATCACACCTGGCCTCTATTTAAATAATTTTTATTTTTAGCTATCAAAGTTTTAATTTACAATAGTTCTTTCTGGTTCTCTGGTTGTCTTTTTTTCACAGTATACTCTTCTTGTTTTATGGACACAATCTCTTCTAATACTCATTTTGTTGATATGGTCTCATGTTAAAAAAAAGTTTTCTTCTGCCACCTGCCTTGTTGCTGCCTCCTAAGTTTTTGTTTGTGGACTTTTTGGCTCTTTTTCTTGTTAGAGCTTTTAGCAAATATCTGATGATTCCTGGCTGTCCTTTCATATTTAAGCTTAAGTGGGGCTCATTGACTAAGGATCTTCATATTAAGGTTCCCAGATAGTGAGTCTTTTAATTAGCGTTTCCCAAGGTCAGTATCTGAAGGCTTTTCTCTGGACTGTTCTGTGTATCCAGAGTACCCCTCTTTTTCCTATGAGGATGCCAATATGCTTGGTACTCTGGGGGCTGAGTGGGGGAAGGAGGCTGACAGTTCGATAATTTGGTATGTACACTTGTACTTAATCCCCATTTTCAGCCCCAAGATTAACCCAGTTCCACGTGTCTAGATTTCCTGAGTCAGAAATCTGTGTGGTTCAATTTCTCCAGAGAATAAATCCTTGCTCTTCTGTGAGTGTGCTTGGGTGTTGAACACTTGGATGCATAAGGTGGGAGGAGCCGTGGGGTCCTACTTGTTTTCAGTCCTGTACCTCCTTACTTTCCACTATCGGGTACTTCCAAGCACTGAACCTCTCAGGTTCTGTTGGGAAAGTGGCTTGCCTCTCAGCAGTACCTCCTTTGCAGGCCCTTGGTTTGCCTCAACGCTGGCAAGTCAGTTACCGCTGTTGCTCCTTTCCTGTTCTCTTTGACCTTGCAGATTAGTACCCTTTTCATTTTCTTACTGTTATTCTACAAGAGACTCAGGAAGGAGATAGGTGCCAACTTGAATGATCAGTCTCCCTTTTACATTACAGGCTGAACCTCCTCAGAAGAGCAACTGGAGATAGAAGCATGAATCTTTTATCCATACGTTCCGCCAGGCTCGAGAGGTCCAGCAGGTAACTGCCAAAGGTGGAAACTGTTCACACTTGCCTCCCATCCTGCCTGCAGAAAACCCAGACTGCATTCAGTGTCCTCAGTGTAGCCACCACTTTGCTCCCAAGGTGGCTGAGCAACACATTCCCAAGTGTAAGACCATCAAGAACTGTCTTCCACCTCTAAGGAAGCATTATAGTTGAGCAGACAACAATGGAAACTTTTGGATAGTTCAGAAAGCTCTGCTTCTCTTCAGCAGTAAATGGGAGTAGAATTTGATGCAAAGCAGAAAGAAATCAAACAGCTCCCAGATCTGCCTGCAGAGCTAAAATCTGTGAGGAGAGAGCCACTGCTAAGCAGCAGGAGGCAGAAGGAAGCCCCAGCTTCCCACTAAATTACAACCTTGGGCTGGTATGCTTTATGTTATTGCCCTCAGAATTGATGGGTGAAGACACTGAAGAGTCATGAGCAGGCTCCATTAAAGCTCTTTTCTTGCATGCCTGACTTGTGGTTTGTGCTAGTTAAGTGCCTGCATCTGGTTCTGCCTTCTTGTCACTGCATGTATGTTCAGAGTTCCTGTTAACTCTTGCTTTTGTAGAAGCTGGAGTTATTAGGATGTGTTGGTGTCAGAGGGGCATGATCACCCAGATAGTAACTCTTATAAAAGATAATACAATTTTGCTATAAGGCATTATTAATGGAAATCTATCCTTGGTCTCCCTGGTGCATAAGCCTGGCCAAAACCCAATACAAGTATGTAAGGTTAAGGCACCAATGTCTCCTAAACCTTCCCTATGGTGTACTGTGTAATAAAGGAAAGATCTTTATGTACTTTACAGGGTAGGGATGGGTGTTGGGGGGGAAACACATTATACTTCTCTCTACTTGTTCTTTTCTAATGGGTTTCATATGTTAAGAAAGAAACCTCCATTTTAGCTGTTAGTAGCACTCTACTTTCAAATCGGTTTGGCTAAATGACTGTTTAGAGGCAGCAAAATCTACCATCAAAGCAAGCTGAGACAGGCTGGTCATGGTGGCTCATTCCTATAATTCCAGCACTTTGGGAGGCTGAAGTGGGAGGATTGCTTGAGGCCAGGAGTTCAAGAGCGGCCTCGACAACAAAGCAAGACCCCATCTCAAAACAAAACAAAGCTGGGACACTGCACAGTGTCACATGCCCTTGGCAATTATAGCATAGTCAACTTCTATTTCAGAGAGTAAACTTTGAAGGGAAAGGGATCAAATCTTTTTAATTTTCTCTGTGTAGAATATTGCCTAGCACAAGTTAGACCTTCAATTAGTGAGGTCTGGAGATTTAAAATTAAACAAGAAGATGAGTGAGTCCTACACTAGTGAAATCAGAGAACTGATAAGTTAATGTCTGCGAGAGTATTATCAGTTCAGATAGGAGTGAAGTTAGCACAACAGATAGAAATCTTAGGATTACTGTTCTGTATTACTCAAATTGTTAGTTTAAAATACTGGAGAAAAACTGCTCAATTTGAGCTAGTCAACAGGGCTAGACAGACAACAAAATCCTATTTTACTAAGTAACAAATGGCCACTCACTCTTGCTCCATTTCCACTGCACTCCAGCCTGGTGACCTAGTGAGACTCCATCTCAAAAAAAAAAAAAAAAAAAAGAAAAAAAAATTGGGCTAACAGATCAGACCAATTTGAAATGTGAGTTAAGGCTTTAGCGGTGAAGCTGCAGGACACAGGCTGGGAAAAAATCCTATATATTTAAATAGGAGCACACATTTCTTTGCACTCTTTTTAATTGTTCCAAAGGAAAGGAGGTATCACATAATAAAGCTTTATGGTTAGCCCCTTAAGGAAACCTCACACAGAGATAATGGATATTTAACCTAATAGGTACATTCCCTAGGCAAGTTCAATGAAATGTACACTTTAAGTGGGAATGTAAACCAGTACATTGCAATAGATGGCAAGAGTAAGCTGTGGCCAAGGTCACAAAATGGCAACATGTGGATTGCTTTGCTCCACAGATGTTTTATTTCGCTGGCCTAGCATTCATAATATGATCTGACATTTAAAAACTGGGATATGGAACATCTCTTGAAAAACTGGAAGTTCTGGAAACACTGGGCCAGCAACCCGCATGGCACAAATTGGGTGGGGTTTAGAATCAGATGCTCCTCCAGATGGGAATGGTAGCACCAGACCACTGCAGTCTCACTTGGCCTGCTTCACTTCTTTACCTTATCTGCCTGGTACCACAGGCACTTGGATTTGGGATCGCTGGATGTTAGTAAGGTCATAGATCCGGGCCCTCCAGAGAGAACAAATTGTTGTTATATGTGGGGAGTGCTTTCTAAAAAGGAAGCAGTTGTTTGCTCTCATTTTGCTAAAGAAATAAAACAATAGTCAATGCCTTAAGTGTTCCCTTTAATCTCTACATGTTTAGGCCTTGGTTATATTAGAAATATCTTTCAAGGCCGAGCATGGTGGCTCATGCCTGTAATCCCAGCACTTTGGGAGGCCGAGGTGGGCGGATCACAAAGTCAAGAGATCGAGACCATCCTGGCCAACATGGTGAAACCCCGTCTCTACTAAAAATACAAAAATTAGCTGGGCGTGGTGGCGCACACCTGTAGTCCCAACTACTCGGGAGGCTGAGGCAGGAGAATTGCTTGAACCCAGGAGGCAGAGGTTGCAGTGAGCTGAGATCGCGCCACTGCACTCCAGCCTGGTGACCTAGTAAGAATCCATCTCAAAAAAAAAAAAAGAAAAAAAAAAAAGAAATATCTTTCATCTTTTAAATTTATCTTGATCTGGTCTCTGGGAAGAGATAAGAACCTTTTTTTAAAAAAATCTGAATTTCTTCCTGGATAGCTCAGACGATGACAGTAAATGCATGCTGCTTCTTAATGTCTGTATTTTATACAACTTTATCCAAGAAATGTTTAGTGCAAGTAAACATTATAAAGTTCATAAGGTTACACCATAGGAGAAATTTCACGGGGAAACTCCTCATGTGGAAACTCATTTCATTAAAAATGTATGCAGATGTGCCGAGACAGTATTTCTTTTTTTTTTTTTTTGAGACGGAGTCTCGCTCTTGTCACCCAGGCTGGAGTGCAGTGGAGTGATCTTGGCCCACTGCAAGCTCCGCCTCCCGGGTTCACGCCATTCTTCTGCCCCAGCCTCCCGAGTAGCTGGGACTACAGGCGCCCACCACCACGCCCGGCTGATTTTTTGTATTTTTAGTAGAGATGGGGTTTCACTGTGTTAGCCAGGATGGTCTTGAACTCCTGACCTGCCCACCTCGGCCTCCCAAAGTGCTGGGATTACAGGCGTGAGCCACCGCGCCTGTCCTGCCAAGACAGTATTTTTTTTTTTATTTTTGAGATGGAGTCTCACTCTGTCGCCCAGGCTGGAGTACCGTGGCGCAATCTCAGCTCACTGCAAACTCCGCCTCCTGGGTTCACGCCATTCTCCTGCCTCAGCCTCCAGAGTAGCTGGGACTACAGGCACCTGCCACAACACCCAGCTAATTTTTTTGTATTTTTAGTAGAGACGGGATTTCACTGTGTTAGCCAGGATGGTCTCGATCTCCTGACCTCGTGATCCGCCCGCCTCGGCCTCCCAAAGTGCTGGGATTACAGGCGTGAGCCACTGCGTCTGGCCCGAGACAGTATTTCTTAACAGCAATGTATGTAATGCAGCACAGCACCTTCTGGCCAATGTTTGCTTTCATTATCAATTTATCACTCTCCACAGCTACACAGGTGGTAACAGAGATGTGACATAGTGGAGTTTTTCTCCCTAATGTTCATCATTCTGTGAGGTTTAATGATCAGCGTGTTTATTTCCACAGTTAATCATTGAAACAATAAATGATTTTTGGCTTTGCAGCAGTTAGGAACATGTTTTATAGTCCTGATTATAGCCCACTCTGCCCTGACCATCATGAATACTTTTTTGGAGGTTTAGGGATTTCATGTGAATGAATTTATTTAAAATGTATTCTTGCCCCTGAATTGTTCTATTATGAATGTTTGTGAACATATGGCAAGTGAAATGAAATTTTTTAGTGTACTTTTGCTTTAAACTTCAGTGAAATGCTCAGCCAAGAGAAGTTGTAACTTGGCTGTGCTATGCCAGGGAGACCAAATTCAGTTCAATCTCTTTGAAGGAAAAGTTTTACAAACCATAAACTGGCATTATCACTTGGAAAGGCCCCCACTGAGACTGAGGAGGTAGGTACAAGAAAGGATCATCCTTCTTTTAGTGGCTCATTTTTTCCCTCCCTCTGCACTTTCGGCACTTTTAGACATTTTTGGGAAAAAAGCTGTAGCAGCAGCAATGATTCTGCTGGCAAGAATAAGAAACTGGAGAGAAGCAAAGAATATTTCTGTGCAGATGTCCCTTGCATTGTTTCTGTTCCAAGAACATTATTTATATAAAGACTCACAGAATCAAAGATTCACGGAGGCTTAGAATCTGGATGTTTTATCCCCAGAGACTAAGGTCCATGCACAGGCTTACTGAAGCACAGTACTGATTAAGAGCTTAAATGTTTATTTAAAACAGAAATGCCAAACCACTCCACTCTCAACCTTTCAAGCAACCTGGCTAACAATAAACTAGTTCTTCTGCAACAATGTTAGAGCAGAGGAGTAACTCAGGTTATACTGTAACTCAAAAGCAATACTACTAGAAAACTTAAAACACCTAGCACTGCATAAAGAAAAAAAGCAGGACAAAATTTAAAGAGAATTAGCTACAGAAAACCATTCAAAGGCATTTCTACTGCCTCATCTTTTACTCCATCCCCCTTTGAACTGGTTTCTGTTTGCATACTTGTTTGGTGGGAAAAAAAATCATATGGCTGTCCCAGGCACAATATGGGAAAGTGCAAACTGTCTCTAAGGCACAGAACTTAGATTCTCAGCCAGATTAATAGCAAATCTAGACTTCCCAAGGGAATATGCTAGAGAAAATGACCACAGCGTTCCACTGCTAGGGAAAGGCTCCCCTATGAACAAGACCAGGGCACTCACCCACCCCCGGCACTCACTTTCACCCCACCTTCTCAGCAACCTGCCCATGTCCATCAGCTCCATGGCAGAAGCAATCCTCATGATGAACACCCAAACTGACCCAGCCTCTCAGGCCTGCTGAGATGATGAGCATGAGGATACAGGGACATGACAGGTCAATCGGTCCTCAAGAAAATCAAAGTTGCATTTACATGCTGAACCAAAACCCACTGTTACAGTTTATGACAACCCCCGCAAGTCCCCAGAACTTGCAACTTTAATCAAAGTTTGGCTGCTTCCCTTATTTCAAGAAAAGGTTTCAGTGATTACATTAGTACTAATGTACTAGGCTTCCCAGAACTGAGAAAACAATGGGAACATCAAACCAAAGAAGATCCCATTGAACAGAGTTGCCTGTCCCGAGCAATGGGGTTCTCCCCAAGCATCAGCCTTTATGCCACCAGTTTTGGAGAAATGGCAAAATTTCCATTGCACAAGACCTCCCACAATGTTGATAAGATTATCAAACATTTTGGTCTGGGGAAGATGAAACAAAATTAATTTAGCTGTTTATAGGAAGGTGGGATGTGAGACTCATCAAAGGTAGGATGTGTGACACAAAATACCACAGGAACATTTTACAAGGCTAGGTGGAAATACAAAGCTCACATCCTTAAGGAAACCATCAAATACTTGCCTAGAACTTTCTATATGAAGTTTTGTTCTTCTATGACACTATTTCTCTTTGGTAAAGCTAGCTTGTTTCTATCTACAAAGACACAGTGAGTACAGGATTAGAAGTGAGCTCTCAGCCAAATTCCTTTTGCAAGTTCTACCTGTTCTGTTAGGCTTCAGGGACTCCCAGGGTTTGGTGCTGGCTTTGGGCCACTCAGGTAGGAAAAATGATACAGATTCATTCGTTACCACATGGCTTCATAAAACACCAAAAGGGGAAAAATACTGACTAGACATTCAGAAAGAAAGTGGTTGGGGCTGCTGATATCAAGATCAGAACCCTAAGAGCCATGAAGGCAGAGGCTCAAAGAAGTCTTTTCATGGGCAGAAGACTGAGAGCCCTCTAAGCCCTCTCTAAGATACCAAGTAGAGGCAGCTAAAGGAGGACCTCTTCTCCTTCATGATTTTCTCTTAAGGCTATTCTGACTGCCCCATGGACTCAATTCTCTGAGACACCTCATCCCTCAGAGACACCTCATCCCCTCATCCACAGTTAGGAAATCCCACCCTGCATTGGTCACAGCCTGAAACACCAGCTGTGTGATGAGGAGGGTCCTGCCCTTTCTCTATTCCTCACTGAAGAAATTTCAATCAACCCTCAGAGGAAAAGCAACCTAAGCCTACCTTTCCTCCTAAAGCATTTAGCTGCACAGAGTAACTGAACTTTTTCGAAACAAGCCCTAGATTGACTCCATCAGACATATTTTCCTGGACTCAGGGCTCCCAAGAGGGCCAGACTACTTCACCACTCTGCAGAGGACACTGGGCGGGCCACACCTGATTCCAGCCCACTCCAACTTTACACTTCTCCCTCTCCCACCCAGAGGGGTAATGCCTGGTACTGAATTCCCAAGGCAGCTTCCAATCAATGGTGAAAATGATACATGGGATATAAGCTGCTACCAGCGCAATTAAGGTGAGCACTGTGTCTCCTCTTCAAAGGTGGGATCAACAGATGAGGTACAGAGCTGCTGTTGCTATGGCAGTCACTGATGACAAAGCCAGGGCCATGGGGGCCCTTCCATTCTCCAAAACAATAAAATCACTCCTAGATCCTATCTAAAAGGCAATGCCACTCTCCAAATGTACAAGGAAAGTGCTTCAGAGCCTCTGCCTTGCGCTCCTTTTCTGCAAGTGAACAAAGCCAGGAAAGCTGCTCTCTGCATTCGGTAAGTGTGCTGTGAAGTTCTTTGGGTCCCAGTCTCCTGGGGGCTCTACAGGCTCAGGAGACTAGAGGCTGGGTCTACAGGAGTCTGTTCCCAGGAGGCACCAGGAATCTGAATCTAAGTCAGGCTTTGGATCCATTTCCATCTCTTCCTTTGCTGTCTGAGTTCCTTTGGAATGCATCCCCACCTGTCCGGATAAAACACGGTTCCACATTAGCAACAGTGCCACCTAGTCACAGAAGTAGTTCAGTACTATATTTTCAATGCCAACTTCTAAGGCATTGGCTAAGGCGTGGCTAAGGATTTGTAGCCACGATCTTGTGAGACGCTCATGGCACTATTTTAGATACAGTCCATACCTTTATATTTACTGCAGGTAGGGTGACCAACTATCCAGGTTTGTCCAGGACTGCGGGGTTTCCTGGGATGCAGAACTCTTAGTTTTAAAATGGAAAAAGTCCTGGGCAAAACAATCTTCTCCCTGCTATAGCTGCCAATCTTACCTTGTGTGTGTGTGTGTTTTTGAGACAGGGTCTTGCTCTGTTGCTTACGCCGAAGTGCAGTGGTGTGATCACGGATCACTGCAGCCTTGACCTCCCCAGATTCAGGTGATCTTCCCACCTCAGCCTCCTGAATAACTGGGACTATAGGCGTGTGCCATCATGCCCAGTTAGTTTTTATTTTTGGTAGAGATGGGGTTTCACCAGGTTGCCCAGGCTGGTCTTGAACTCCTGGGCTCAAGCAATCTCCCAAAGTGCTGGGATTACAGGTGTGAGCCACCGTGCTCAGCCTGTATATTATTTTCTAAAGTAATTTCATAAACATTAGTTCATTTAATCCTCCAAAGAACCATACAAGGTGTCTATTATTTTCTTTCAGGTGAGAAACCAGGGCTCAGAGAAAACAAAGTAGCCCAAACACCTACAGCTGGCAAATGGCAAAGCCAAGGGCCTAACCCTATTTCTCTGCTTCTACTTCCCTCTATATAAAACAATAGCATGGCTCTCGAAAAATAATGCAAGCAGCATCACCTTTGAAGTATTTTCACTAAAAATGTTTAATGTGAATCTAATCAAGCCTTAGGTTAAACTTCCAGTTTTCAGAAAAGACAGGGTGACAGAAAAACAAGTTAGACAACACCCTGAGAAAACAAGACAAATCTAGAATGTGGGACATTCTGTTGAACAACTGCCCTGGTTTCTTCAACAAGTCAATGTCATAAAAGTATTTTTTTAAAAGGTGAAGCAGAGCATGGTGGAACATGCCTGTAGTTCCAGCTACTTGGGGGGCTGAGGTCAGAGAATCACTTGAGCTTAGGAAGTCAAGGCTGCAGTGATCCATGTTTGTGCCACTGCACTCCAGCCTTGGTGACAATGCAAGACCCTGTCTCAAAATAAATACATAAATAAGGCCTGGCGCAGTGGCTCACACCTGTAATCCTAGCACTCTGGGAGGCCGAGGCAGGTGGATCACGAGGTCAGGAGTTTGACACCAGCCTGGCCAATATGGTGAAATCCCATCTCTACTAAAAATACAAAAATTGGCTGGGCATGGTGGTAAGCGTCTATAGTCCCAGCTACTCGGGAGGCTGAGGCAGAAGAATCACTTGAACCCGGGCGGTGGAGGTTGCAGTAAGCCGAGATCACGCCACTGCACTCCAGCCTGGGCAACAGAGTGAGACTGTCTCAAAAAATAAAAATAAAAATAAAAATAAAAATAAAAATAAAATAATTTAAAAAAGGTGATGGTGGTGGAGGGAGCTGTTTTAGATGAAAAGAAATGAGACATACATATAATGTGGGATTCTTGACTGGATTCTAGTCTGATAAAAAATGGTTATAAAGGACATTTTTGTGGGGGAAAACTGGGAAAATTGAGGTATCAGCTGGATACTAGATGAGAATTGACAATACTAGTATTAATTTTTTTAGGTGTGGTTATAGTATTGTGGTTGTTCAGGAGAATGTCTATTTTCAGAGGTATGTAATTAAGTATTGTAAAAGAAAAAACATACACTAAGAAAAAGCAATGCAAGTGATGAAAATGATTCAATCTAGGTGCCTGAACAAGGCCCAAGGCTTCTGGGATTATAATTACAAAAATGGTATCATTAAAAACTAAGGATCGGCCAGGCGTGGTGGCTCACACCTGTAATCCCAGCACTTTGGGAGGCTGAGGCGGGTGGATCATGAAGTCAAGTGATCGAGACCATCCTGGCCAACACGGTGAAACCCTGTCTCTACTAAAAATACCAAAATTAGCCGGGCATGGTGGTGCACACCTGTAGTCCCAGCTACTCGGGAGGCTGAGGCAGGAGAATTGCTTGAATCCGGGAGGCGGAGGTTGCAGTAAGCCAAGATAGCACCACTGCACTCTGGCCTGGCAACAGAGCGAGACTCCGTCTCAAAAAAAAAGTAAGGACCTGCAAAGGAACAAGTCTATTTCAGTACTTTGTGTTTTGTTTCTGTGATTCTTCAAAACAGGCTTAGAAATTGGATTATTCTTTTAATGCTCTCACCTGCTGCCCTCCTTCTAATTTCTTGTTCAACTTCTGCAGTTGGGTAAAAATCTGGAGGTTTTCTTGCTGTAGCTTCTGTTGTTCAGCCAGACACTTTAACACCAGACCCTGCAATCTCTCAACCTCCACCTGCAGAGAGCTGCACGCACACGCAGGAGGAGTCAGTGGTGTTCCCTTCCCAGCACAGGTTACTGCAGGATTCAGCCGAGGTGACTAGAGAGACAAGAAGGAGATTGCAGGAGGTTCTGCCCAGGTGTCATAGCTCCTCAATCCAAACTTCCTCTAAGTGCAATCGGATTTTACTTTTAAATTAACAAGATAAATCATATATACACATGAATATATGTACGAGAAACAGAAATGCTAGGATTATAACAGCGATGGGCACTGACATAACATGGAAAGTGAACTCTCTGCCTCAGTCCCCATTAGGCCAAGGTGGGAGACCAATCATCTATTTTGGAGGACTTTGTGAAAAATTTTAAAGCACCTTGGTATCTTCTCATTTAAAATGCTGAAGTAGGGAAAAGCATGATTTGGTTTGGAACAAGTCTTTCAGATCACAGACCCAAAGGGTCAATATTCATGATATGCAGTGAATCACACTTTAGAAAAGATCTGAGAGGTGGTCAGTAAACAGGACCACCAACACAATTTAAGAAGGTGAACTGACAGAGAAATTAAAACATTCACCTTGAAGTTTCAAAGGTATTATTACCTCTTCTGGGAAGCTTTCTGATGATCCTAGTCTGGATTTTTCTCTTTTCTACTGTACTTTTTTTATAGGAGGGTTCAACAAATAGCCCATAGGCCAATTCTGGCCCACTGCCTGTTTTTGTAAATACAATTTTATTGGAACACAAGGATGCCCATTCATTATGTATTACTTGAAGCTGCTTTTTGTGCTACAATGTCAGAGTTGAGTAGTTGCAAAAGAGGCTGTACACATTTCTGTCTAAAATGGTCTAAAATAATTACTATGTGGCCTTTAATAGGAAAAGTCTAAAATAATTATGTAGCCTTTTATAGAAAAAGTTTCATGACCTTGGATTATAGTTTTACTGAGGTATTTACCACAATGTCATTTTTACCAAGGTTAGGTGTACATGTGTTGCTTCCTCACTAGACTACCAGTATTACTTCTTTCTTATATTTAGAGCCTCTAACCTACCCTGCCAGTGTCATGAAAAACTGAATTTGAATTTTGGTATTTCTGAGGCAGAGGGAAAAGACAATCCCTTTAGAAAGGTGTTAGCCTGTCAGAAATGTGGAAGGGTAAATACCTTTCTGAGGCAACTCAGTTTAGTCTTGGGTTGAGGCTTTAAGTACTGCTGAATAGACAGTATAATGAGTTGATGCAGGGCAGCTGAAACCCAAAAGCTAGAGCGAGGCCAGAAGAACCAGGCAGAGCTTGCAGTGACTGTTTACCTAGTTGTGATTCAAAGGCAAAAAGCTCAGTTACCGAGGCTTCTACTTGGGGTTTGTGTTCCAAAGGAGCTTCAGAGGCCACTTTGAGTCCTTGCAGCTCTTCATAGGGCAGGGTATCTTTCTCAGATTCTGAAAACGCTGCACTGAGAGGAGATGGGCTGTCAGGCATGGGGATAAATTCTGCATTTTCCAGCTCCTATGTATATGAGAAAGAATCTCATTAGTCTGTTTGCAGTATTTGCTTCCTCCCAAATTCCCTTCTTTTTGCTATAGTTTTCCCTCTCTCATGACTTCAGCACCCTCTAGTGGGCAAGACAGTTGTGGTTAACAACATATCACAGCCTACCTGTGAAAAAACTGCCACCCCTTCATCAGAGAAACAGTGATGCAAAGGCAAACTCAAAGAACACAGGCTGGAGTTTCTGGTGTGTCACTCCAACACGCTTATTCTACACAGGCTATTCAGTGAGCTGGGGCGCTCCAAGGAAGTGTCAGTGAGGCTGGCTGCAACACTGCTGAAAGCTGAGGCTAAAGGTGCAGACAGAACAGCATGCTGCTTCCTCTGTTCACGCTCCTCAAATCACTAGCAAGTTTAGTCTTATTAGACAGGGAGCTTTAAACCTACAGATTTTTTTTTTTGAAACAGGGTCTTGCTCTGTTGCCCAGGCTGGAGTGCAGTGGCACAACCATGACTCACTGTAGTCCTGACCTTTGGGACTCAAATAATCCTTCCACATCAGCCTCCTGAGTAGCTAGGACCACAGGCATGTGCCACCATGCCCGGCTAATTATTATTTTTTTGAGACAGAATCTCACTCTGTCACCAGGCTGAAGTGCAGTGGCACAATCTCGGCTCACTGCAACCTTCACCTCCCAGGTTCAAGTGGTCCTCCTACTTCAGCCTCCCAAGTAGCTGGGATTACAAGCGTGTACCACCACAACTGGCTAATTTTTTGTATTTTTAGTAGAGACAGAGTTTCACCATGTTGGCCAGGCTGGTTTCAAACTCCTGACCTCAAGTGATCTGCCCGCCTTGGCCTCCCAAAGTGCTGGGATTACAGGTGTGAGCCACCTCGCCCAGCCTTATTTATTTATCTATTTATTTTTTGAGATGGAGTCTCACTCTGTCGCCCAGGCTGGACTGCAGTGGTGCGATCTCGGCTCACTGCAACCTTCGCCTCCTGGGCTCAAGTGATTCTCCTGGCTCAGCCTCCCAGGTAGCTGGGATTACAGGTGCGTGCCACCATGCCCAGCTAATTTTTTTTTTTTTTTGAGACGGAGTCTCGCTCTGTCACCAGGCCAAAGTGCAGTGGCGCAATCTCGGCTCACTGCAACCTCCACCTCCTGGGTTCAAGCGATTCTCCTGCCTCAGCCTCCTGAGCAGCTGGGACTACAGGCGTGCGCCACAACGCCCGGCTAATTTTTGTATTTTTAATAGAGATGGGGTTTCACCATGTTGGCCAGGATGGTCTTGATCTCTTGACCTTGTGATCCGCCCGCCTCAGCCTCCCAAAGTGCTGGGATTACAGGCGTGAGCCACCTTGCCCGGCTAATTTTTGTATTTTTAGTAGAGATGGGGTTTCACCATGATTGGCCAGGCTGTTCTCAAACTCCTGACCTCAGGTGATCCTCCCGCCTTGGCCTCCCAAAGAGCTGGGATTACAGATGTGAGCCACCATGCCTGGCCCTGGCCTTATTTTTTTTTAAATTTTTATAGAGATGGGGTCTCCCTATGTTGTCTAGGCTGGTCTCAAACTCCTGGGCTCAAGCAATCCTCCTGCCTTGGCCTCCCAAAGTGCTGGAATTACAGCTGGGAGCCATCATGCTCGGTCTTTTTTTTTTTTTTTTTGGTAAAAAATTTAAAATTTCACAAACCATAAATATTTACTGTAGAAAATGAGAAAATACAAATGGGCAAAGGAAACTAATAAAATTCACCAGCAATTCCATCACTTACAGACAACCACTTTAAAAACTGTCAATACATAGTCTTGTTGACATTCTTTTGTGTGTTACATATTTCCTAAAAGAATGAGATCATACAGATATATCATCCTCTTCTGCATAGCCATATGTTGTGAGTAACTTTCCATGAAAATAAATATACTTCAACATTCTTACTTTTTTTTTTTTTTGAACAGGGTTTTGCTTTGTCACCCAGGCTGGATTGCAGTGGTACAATCATGGCACAGCTCGGCTCACTTCAGCCTCGACTTCCCAGGTTCAAGTGATCATCCTGCCTCAGCCTCCTGAGTAGCTGGAACTATAGGTGCACACTACTACACCCGGCTAATTTTTTAAATTTTTGGTACAGACAAGGTCTTGCTGTGTTGCCCAAGCTGGTCTTGAGCTCCTAGGCTCAAGTGATCCTCCTGCCTCAGCCTCCCAAAGTGCTGGAATTATAGGCATGAGCCACTGTGCCCAATCCAACATTTTTACTTTCTGTATCTCAACTTTCATCAACCATTTTCCTATTGTAAGGCATTCCAACTGCTCCAATATTCCATTTCTATAAATGACAGTATAAAATCTGTAAGCTTAATCTTTATATACATGTACTACAAAAACTGCCATCAAGGTAGGTTATAGTAACTTATAATACATTCACTTAAGTAACAAGGGTATGAGAACATTTTTTATCTTTTTGGAAAGAAAAAAGGATTAGTGATTAGGCAATTTCTTTCCAGGTAGAAATCAGAAGGCTGGATTCAGGATGCACAACAGTTTACTAGGTACTTGGAAAACTGAGAGACCCTGACAGCTCTTTCTAGTTCCTGCAAAGGGCCACATATTTTATCCAAGTTACTTCTTCCAAAGGAATTACCTTTCGAAGCCAGCCAGGACAGGAGCTGCTGGCCCCATTACTGTTCCCCATGGCCTCTGTGGGACTGATTAAACCTTCCATTCCTCGGTCTGCTTCCATTGTTCCTCGGAAGCCTCCACTTGGGTCAGGAGTTTCAGATTCCTGCTGACTGTCCTCTTCTTCACCACCGCCGCCCCCGCCGCCTCCTCCCGGGCTAGAGCTCTGAAACACTGACAGATATACAGCACAGAAATAGACAGCTTTGCTATGCAGCAAGACAGATTTACCATTTGACAACCCTACTTACCCTGGAAAGGTGCCTATAAGCTGCATGAAGTGCAATGGCAACAGTGCAAGTCAAATGTTAGGGACTAAATTTTTGGTTTTCATACAAACTATGTTTTGTAATTTTGTATAGTTGTATTTGTATATCAGGATGCTCATAATGATAATTCACTTCCATTTACCAACTTTGTTTATCTTGTATCCATAGCAGGTTATCAATATTCTAAAAGCATTACCAAACAATCCCCCCAACCACAGCCCACCAAATCTAGCACCCATGCTTACTCTGCTTCTTTAAGAGATACATTCAGATTCCAGCATCCTCCATAGACACTTATCTTATATAAAAAGGTCTTTAATATTTGAGCCAAACTCCTCTTAAAGTTGCCAGATAAACTTACCATTAACTCCCTGTCCGGGGAAAATCTGAATGTTGAATTCTTCAACTTTTTTTTTTTTATTTGAGACCGAGTCTAGCTTCTGTTGCTCAGGCTGGAGTGCAGTGGCCCGATCTTGGCTCACTGCAACCTCTGCCTCCCAGGTTCAAGCAATTCTCCTGTCTCAGCCTCCCGAGTAGCTGGGATTACAGGCACACACCACCATGCCCAGCTAAGTTTTGTATTTTTAGTAGAGGCGGGGTTTCACTATGTTGGCCAGGCTGGTCTCGAACTCAGGTGATCCACCTACCTTGGCCTCCCAAAGTGCTGGGATTACAGGCGTGAGCCACTGCACCCAGCAATTTTTTTTTTTTGAGGCACAGTTTCATTCTGTCATCCAGGCTAGAGTGCAGTGGCACGATCTTGGCTCACTGCAACCTCCGCCTCCTGGCTTCAAGTGATTCTCGTGCCTCAGCCTCCTGAGTAGCTGGGATTACAGGTGCCCGCCACCATGCCTGGCTAATTTTTGTATTTTCAGTAAAGACAGGGTTTCACCATGTTGGCCAGGCTGGCCTTGAATTCCTGACCTCAAGTGATCCACCCGCCTCGGCCTCCCAAAGTGCTGGGATTACAGGCGTCAGCCACTGCGCCCGGCCAATTCTTCAAAATTTAATGTGAATATTACATTCTCTGACGACTATCTGTATCCATTTTTATAATATAATGGCTGATTCTTTCATATCATACAGCATATTCCAAGCAACCTTAATGAAGACTAGCTGATGTGTGGTCAGGAAATGAAACTGAATTTTAATATGGGCCAAATAAAAATATAATTAAGAAGATTAATCTGTCAAAGTTAAAGAAAAATTGCCTGGTATTTTCTTTTTTTTTTTCTCTTACTCCTCAGGGATCCTTGTTCTGATGCCTGGTATTTTCTGAGGCTAAATGTAAAGAAGGGTTAATTATCACCTGCTGTGCTGGCCTGGGGACTAACTGGGTCATGCTGAGATCCTACGGAAGCAGCAGAACTATAGTTACCAAAGTGAGTTCTGAAGCTTACTTTTTGTTTTAAATGGCTTTTTAAGATTATGCTGCATTTTAGATATACCTAAGACTATTTTAACATACGTGTAAATTTTCATGCCTAACAATAAACATAGGTCTATTTGCCACTAGAACTAGAATTGCACTATCCAATATGAGTTACTAGCCATATGTGCCCGCTTAAACTTAAAGAGAATTAAAAATTCAGTTCCTCAGTCACACAAGCCACTCTCTGGAGTGCTCAATAGCCACAGAAAGCTGGTAGCTACTATACTGAACAGCACCGATATGGAACATTTCCATTGTTGCAAAAAGATCTACTGGACACTGCTGAACTAGAGCATTACCTATATCACTGTATTTGCCGTGTGAATTCCTTCCTTCTCTGGCCTCCTACCCAGATGAAACCATTCTGTTTAATTTTATATTTATCATTTCTTCTTAAAAACTTTATCGCCTTTATGTATCCTTAAATAATACATTACTATTCATTTTACTTTTATTTATTTTTTTTGAGATGGAGTCTCACTCTTTCGCCAGGCTGGCTGTACAGTGGCGCAATCGTGGCTCACTGCAACCCCTGCCTCCCAGGTTCAAGTGATTCCCCTGCCTCAGCCTCCCAAGTAGCTGGGACTACAGGTGTGCACCACCATGCCTGGCTAATTTTTTTTTGTATTTTAGTAGAGACAGGGTTTCACCATGTTGGCCACGATACTCTCAATCTCCTGACCTTGTGATCTGCCTGCCTTGGCCTCCCAAAGTGCTGGTGTTACAGGCGTGAGCCACCACACCCAGCCTATTTTACTTGTTTCTAAACTTTATAAAAAGGCATGTAGTCTGCTGCAACTTGCTTTTTACATTTCACATTATGGAAATATTTGGAGATGTTCACTTTCACTCCAATGGATGGTTATAACGCATTTAATCAACAAATAGTTACTGAGCATTTACCATTTGCCAGGCACTGTTCTAGGGAAGTAGATAAAATTGATAAATAAAAAAGACAAAAATCCCTGCTCTTCCTCGAGTTTACATCTTCCCACCAATGGACATTTGCTTTTAATTTTATGTTTTTCCTTTAAATACTGTTCTAGTAAAACAAACTTGTAGTAGAACTGCTGTGCTTAGCGAAAGATCTTCAGTCAGTTTTGACAGATATTAATATACATAAACAGAGATGCCAAGCAATGGGCTACTTAACTATATATAATATGGTGTAATAAGTCAGTGTATATGTGTAAACTGAAGTTCAACAAGTCTAGATCATGTTTTCAGCTGTTTCTTTTTGGAGGTTTAATCTGTTTGATTGACCGATTGTTTATGTATTTATTCATTTATTCGAGATAGGGTCTTGCTATGTTGCCCAGGCCGGATTGCAGTGGCTATTCATAGGCATGATGATAGTGCACTGTAACCTTGAACTCCTGGCCTCAAGTAATCCTCCTGACTCAGCTTCCTGAGTACCTGGGACTAACGGCTGTGCCACTGTGCCCAGCTTTAATCTGCTTTTATTCTGGGTGTTTATGTGTTTTGATTCCAAACAATATCAGAATCTGGGCTGGGCATGGTGGCTCATGCCTGTAATCCCAGCACTTTGGGAGGCTGAGGTGGGCAGATCACTTGAGGCCAGGAGTTTGAGACCAGCCTGGCCAAACCTACTAAAAATACAAAAAATAGCTGAGTGTGGTGGTGCATGCCTGTAATCCCAGCTACTTGGGAGGCTGAGGAAGGTGAACCACTTGAACCTGGGAGGCAGAGGATGCAGTGAGCCGAGATTGCGCCATTGCACTCCAGCCTGGATGACAGAGCAAGACTGTGCCTCAAAAAAAATAAATAAATAAAATAAATCAGAATCCTGGTTCTGAGACATCAAAGACTACAGGGACTCTAGCAGGTAGAAAACCAAAAAGGAAAATAGATTCAATTTCCTAGCATGGTCCCCAATAATAGAGAACCATGAAGACAGCAGTCAAAGGAAATCTATCAGAGATCTTTGGGATGATTCTCCTAACCACACTGAAAGTTTAGCCGAGTTTTATTCTGAGTGCCTGTTTTGGTGAACTATTTCTTTAGACTGGAATACCCCTGGGAATACCGTGGAAGTAGAGGACTCATTACCCCCTAGAATAGTAAGGAAAGGAATAATACATAAGTCATATTACAGTACTGGGCAAGCTACTTAATTACTTGCATATGCGTTGGAGGCAAAGATGATGTAGTGTCTCTCTGACCACAATGTAAAAGTTATAACTTACTGCAAAACCAAACAAAATATGATCTTCTCTCTTAACCACTGTATTCCTCACTTCCCAAAGACATTTCCCATTTTCCTTTGGGTTTTGGAGTCTACATGGAATCTAACCAAAAGACCCACACTTCAGAAAACCACTGGTACCTGAAACATTGGTACTTACCAGTTCCAATGGATAAGCCACTGCTATTGGAACGGATGGTCTTAGAATTCAATACTTTCTCTGAGAAAAAATATTTGGTAGGTAAGCACTGTATACTGATATAGGCAAGAAAAATGAGAGAAGACTAGGATAGGGAGATAATTGCTCTCCTTGACTCCAGATAACTTTAGAACTATAACTTACAGTTTTAGAAATTAGTATCATAAGCTAAGCACCACTTGCTATTCTAAGTATATTCACTATCTACATTAGCAACTGTCTGCCTTGGCTGGTCACTGGAATCACCTGGGAAGTTTTAAAAAGTAACCATGTGTTTGAGACCAGCCTAGGCAACATGGCAAAACCCAATCTCTAAAAAAAAATGCAAAGCTAGCCAGGTGTGGTGGCACTGGCCTGTAGTCCCAGCTACTTGGGAGGCTCAGGTGAGAGGATCAATTGAGCCTGGGAGAGCGAAACTACAGTGAGCTGTGTCTGTGCCACTGCACTCTACTCTGGGTAACAGAGTGAGACTCTGTCTCAAAATTTAAAAAAAGGAAGTAACATTGCATAGGTCTGTAGGTTCCACCCCAGAGATTCTGATTTAATTGGTCAGGGATAGGGTCTGGACCGTGGTATTCTTAAAAGCTTCTTGGCCGGGTTCAGTGGCTCATGTCTGTAATCTCAGCACTTTGGGAGGCCGAGGCAGGCAGATCATGAGGTCAGGAGTTCAAGACCAGCCTGGCTAATATGGTGAAACCCCATCTCTACTAAAAAATCCAAAAATTAGCCAGGTGTGATGGTACACTCCTGTAGTCCCAGCTACTCGAGAGACTGAGGCAGGAGAATCGCTTGAACCTGGGAGGATGCAGTGAGCTGAGATCGCACCACTGCGCTCCAGCCTGGGCGACAGAGCGAGACTTCGTCTCAAAAAAAAAAAAAAAAAAAAAAAAAGCTTCTCAAGGATTCTAATGTATGTGCTGCTAAGGTTGCAAACCACTGATCTAAAAGTAGACTTATAAACCCTTACACAGGCATTTATAAAGTAGTTCCTAACAAAGTAATCTTTATGCAGAAAGTGCTTATAATTTAAAGTTTCTTTTAAAGGATGTACTGAATGTTTCTCATGAAAGCATGAGCACAGACAACAAATTAATTGGTGGATGATTAGAAGTAACAAATTCTAGGGCCAGGCACGGTGGCTCATGCCTGTAATCCCAGCACTTTGGGAGGCTGAGGCAGGTGGATCACCTGAGGTCAGGAGTTCTAGACCAGCCTGGCCAACGTGGTGGAACCCCATCTCTACCAAAAATACAAAAATTAGTCAGGCGTGGTGGTAGGCACCTATAGTCCAAGCTACTTGGGAGGCTGAGGCAAGAGAATTTGCTTGAACCCAAGAGGCGGAGGTTGCAGTGAGCCGAGATCACACCATAGCACTCCAGCCTGGGCGAAAAGAGTGAAACTCCAACTCAAAAAAAAGACAAAAAAAAACAACCAAAAAAATCAATTCTAAGGGGGCAGGCAGAGCCCAAACTTATATTAAAAAATAATCAAGAGATGGCAGATAGCAAAGCTCCAGGAAATGACAATGTTCTGTTCCCACCACTAGGCATGGCATCCTTGACCATTACAAGACTTACAGAAATGGCTTCTTCAGGACATTTCTGTTTCCAACAATGTGACTAACAGTACTCAGATGTGGGTCCATCCTCTGTCAAAGCCATCCCAACCCCAGACATATGAAACTCTTACCAACGATGAGAATGGTATGCCATCCACGGCAAGACAGGTCCGGGACATGATGCAGAGATCCAAAAATAGGCCGAGGCCATGAGGTACAGATATCAGAGCCATGTGGTCTCTCTGTGGGGGTCATTGCCAGGCGGCCATTACCACCATTGCCCCAGGCAAAAATGTGATTATCTAGGAAAAAAGTTAAACAGTAGACCATTTAACAGAACACTGGCTTCCCAATTCTCCGGGTTCCCCATCTTTATATCCTAGAGCTAGAAAGACTTCCCACTATGTACTAAACAAGGGAAAGCTGTTTATTCTCCTATATAAAGCTTAAACTCTTCCTGATTCCACTTGGGTAAAAATGCCCACTCTTCCTATGTACTGCCATTCACTCATTCATTCATCCAATCATTCACCTTTTTCTTCAACAACTTTTTATTGGTCATTCATTCAAACAGTGACTGAACATCTATTTCATGACAGGTACTGCATGGGGTGATAGAGCAGTGAACAAAACCAAGTCCTTGCCCTGTGGAACTGACATTCTAGTAGGGGAGACTGATAATAATAAATATACACCTAATATTTAAGGTGGTGATAAATGCTATGAAGATAAATGGTGGAGAAAAATAAGTGGAAACAAAGAGTAACAGTGGGGTGGGATATCATTATTTTAGATAGGGTAGGTCAGAGGAGTTCTGACACTTGAACAGAGATCTACTGGAGTGACGAAGAGTTTCCAGGCAGAGAGAAGAGCAACAGCAAAAGTAATGTCAGCAGCACAAACAAGGAACAAGGAGACCCCTGCAGCTAGAACAAAGTAAAGGAAGGGACGGAATAACAGAAGGGGTCAGGAGGTGGCTGAGGTCCTGCTCACATAGGGCCAGTCGGGCCACTGTGATGACTCTGGCACTTACTGACTGATAGAGGAAACCACTGGAGGTTTTGAGCAGTAGTTATTTAAGAGAATCCCTCTGTCTACTGAGGAGAACTGATGGCAGGGGAGCAAGGATGGAAGCAGGGAGACCAGTTGTAGTGGAGATGGTGAGAAGTGGTTGGATTTATTCTGAAGATAACCAATATGGATGGGATGTGGAGTGTAGGAGGAAGTTGCCATTTACTGAGACAGGAAGGCTGCAGGAGGTACAGATCTGGGCAGAAAATCAGAAGTTTGATTTTGAGTATACTAAGTTTGTCTGAGATGCCTATAACTTCTTATCCAAATCAGGCTTTTAAAAAAAAATGAAACAGGGTGGCTATTAATCATTAAGCCAGGACAACAGGCATGAAGGCATGAATCAGGATTGGTCTAAGATAACTGGGTTATATGGCCCACCCTAAATTTAGACATCAAGTTGAGGAGCTGTTGAATAAATGAGTCTGAAGGTCAAGCCTGGTGATATAAAGCAGTCAATGTATAGGGGGAATTTAAGGGAACAAGCTCACTTTGGAGAGACAAGTGAGCCTTGGGGTACTCCAGGACTTAGAAGACTAGGCTGCTGCTATTATAGCACCTAACACCTGCCTGTGCTAGTCCCCTATTCTACTAGAGTGTGAGCTCCTTGAAAGCAGGAGTTTTCTGAGACTCATTTCTATATTCCTAGAGCCTAAAAGAGGACTTGGACATGAATGAGGCCATCAAGTACAGTTCAGAGGAGTATAGGAACATCAAGAGGTAATATGCCCAGCCACAGAATCCAAATTTACATTCCTCATTCTGAAGTTAAAGTCATGAACTACACAGATCTATTCAAGAAACATGAGCTCTCTGAAGCCCTGTCAGAAAGTGCTACTGCAGTTGCTGCACTAAATTTATCTTCAGTGACATCCTGACTGTCCTGTGTAACGTTTCCATTTATCCAAGTCTGACCTAAACAGTTTGCTCCTTAAAGTCCCTTATTTTGGGACAAGCAGAGAGAGTTAATGTGCTGTTCTGAATGCTGGTTTATTTAAATATGGTAACAGATCACAATATCCCTGAGACCCCTCATGAGTACAGAACAGGCATGGACCAAAAGAAAACAAGGATATCTCAGAGCACAAGCAACAACAAAAAAGTTGATGAGTCAAAAGATAAGAAGATTAAATGTATTGGCTGGGCATGGTGGCACACGCCTGTAATTCCAGCTACTTGGGAGGCTGAGGCAGGAGAAGCACTTGAACCCGGGAGGTGGAGGCTGCACTGAGCCGAGATCATACCACTGTACTCCAGCCTGGGTGACAGAGCGAGACTCTGTCTCAAAAAGAAAAAGAGAGAAAATGAAATGTGAGTTGTTACCAGTCAAGTGAAAAAAGTGGCTACAAAAATTTAGAAGTTCAGATGATGACACAGGAAAAAGAAAAAAGAGGAAAAAAGCAAGCAAAGAAGGAAGGGAATGTAGGATAGCAACAGCAGCAGTACAGAAGAGAAGGAGTGACCAGGAGTGGTGGCTCACGCCTATAATCCCAGCACTTTCGGAGGCCAAGGCGGGTGGATCATCTGAGGTCAGGAGTTCAAGACCAGTCTGGCTAACAGGGCAAAACCCCATCTCTACTAAAAATACAAAAATTAGCTGGGCATGGTGGCGAGTGCCTGTAATCCCAGCTACTCAGGAGGCTAAGGCAGGAGAATCGCTTGAACCTGGGAGGCGGTAGTTGCAGTGAGCTGAGATCGCGCCACTGCACTCCAGCCTGGGCGACAACAGTGAGATTGTGTCTCAAAAAAAAAAAAAAAAGAAGAGGAGTGAGGAACCAGACAATACTGCGGAAAGAAATAGCCACAGAGGACCAGGTGCAGTGGCTCACACCTGTAATCCCAGCACTCTGGCAGGCCGAGGTGGGCAGATCACGAGGTCAGGAGTTCGAGACCAGCCTGGCTAACATGGTGAAACCCTGTCTGTACTAAAAATACAAAAATTAGCTGGACGTGGTGGTTTGTGCCTGTAGTTCCAGCTACTCAGGAGGCTGAGGCACAAGAATCACTTGAACCCGGGAGGTGGAGGTTGCAGTGAGCCAAGATCGCGCCATTGTACTCTAGGCTGGGCAATAGAGCAAGACTCCATCTCAAAAAAAAAAAAAAAAAAAAAAAAAAAAAAAAAAAAGGCCAGGCACAATGGCTCACGCCTGTAATCTCAGCACTTTGGGAGGCCGAGGCAAGCGGATCACCTGAGGTTGGGAGTTCGAGACCAGCTGACCAACATAAAGAAACCCCGTCTCTACTAAAAATACAGAAATTAGCCGAGTATGGTGGCGCATGCCTGTAATCCCAGCTACTCGGGAGGCTGAGGCAGGAGAATCGCTTGAACCTGGGAGGCAGAGGCTGTGATGAGCCGAGATTGCGCCATTGCACTCCAGCCTGGGCAACAAGAGCGAAACTCTGTTTCAAAAAACAAAACAAACAAACAAAAAAATCGTCTCAGAGAAAAGAGAGGAGAAAAATCAATTAGACCAACTCAGAAATCTGAGAGATACATAATATAGCGGAAAGCAGCCCTTCAAACCTTAGCAGTCCCTATGGACATCACTGCAGTACAGGTGACCCCAGCCAACAGAGAAAATATGCTGTTCTCTCCAGCTACCCAATCAATGTTTACTGAAATCAATCAACAAGATACTGGGCAAGTTATATAGAAGTACTTAATAATTCTTATAACATTTTACCAAAAAAGTGAAAGCTGAAATGAAAAAAGGAGGAATGTAGAACATTAACCTATCATTATCTAGAAATCTGGCCTTTAAAAACAATCACTATGTTGAACACATGAAAAGTTAATAAAGCTCAATATATATAACCGGCCACCAATTTAATACAAATAAAAAAGTACATCCACAATTCAGCTATACAAATAACTAGTCCATTTCTTTCCCAGCCAAGAACTGAAACACAGCCATGTGTCCAGAAAGCTTGAAATGATATGTACAGACTCACCATCAGTGGCAGCAATGGTAAACTCATCACCGCAGGAGACCCTGATCACTTGCTTCCCACCAAGGGGTCCCCCCAACAGGTTGATTCCCAGACGCTTCTTGTAGTTCCCAACGCCCAGCTGCCCACACTTGTTGCAGCCAAAGGTCAGCAGCCGGCCTCGCTCTGAGAGAGAAGCAAAAAGAAATAACAAGGCACAAATGAGTCCTGGAACCCAGAGAAGATGCAGCCAAGCAGACTTCATGGATTAGCTTCCGGTTGTTAGAATATACAAATATAAAACTAGCCACATGATCCTGGACCTAGGACAAATACAGTATCTAGGCACTATAACCAATTAGATCCAGTCAGCGACTCGATATTGTATTCTCTCTCCAGTACTGTATTTGTAGTGAGAAAAATGAGTACTACCTTAGAATACTTATAAAAGGTGCTAATCAGAGACAACAGATGTCTGGAATCATAGGTGTGGTGTTCTCATAAAAGGATGTATTTATTATGCATTTATAATAATTATCAATAAAAATATGTACCTGAATACATTAATGAAATAATACTAGATTTTCAGGGGAAATCGGGATGATATACATATAAAGAAAACCTAATACCTGATAGAATAAAAGAGGCTCAGCTACTAAGGCATGTGATACAGTTGTAAATCAACTTACCATCAATAGCAGCTGTGTGAGTCTTGCCTGGGGCAATGGTACGGATCTTATAAAAGGACAACTGTTTGGCCAAGGTAAAGGACGTTGTGTAGGGAACTTCATGGTATGCCTGAAACAAAATAAAACACAAAGCAGATGCATGAGGTAAGAAAATCGAAGGAAAATCAGGCTGAGAATGGAAAAAAGTCCTGGTGACCAAAAGGCCTTTCAAGTAAGTTATATTACTAAGAAGAGGGTGCCAGGTAGTTTTCCATCTCCAACAGAAAACAAGAGGAAATAAGCTGAATATGTAATCAGAGAATGCAGCACATGAGGCAGAACTTTCTGACAACCAAAGTTTTAGATTCTGACTTAGGGTTTATAAAACATGAACTTTCCATCCCAGAAGGTATTTATATAAGGAGAGAATCGTTGACATTTACCTTGGTTATACACTCTGCATATCTAACAAGGGCAGGGCAAAGAATTAAAGTCCTGAGGACTGTCTCCAGCCCATAAAGGAATCAGCTTACTGTGATCTAATTTCATCTATAGGGTAGTGTTTCTCAACTTAATTAAAACTCATGTTCCCTTTGAATTAGTATTAAAAAAGAATCCTCTCATTTAAGTTTAAAATTTCACAACAAATCCACTGCTATAATGAAAACATAAATCAAGTAATAGTAATTCTGAATATTGTTTTTTTTGTTTTTTTATTTTGTTTTGTTTTGAGACGGAGTCTTGCTTTGTCGCCCAGGCTGGAGTGCAGTGGCGCGGTCTCGGCTCACTGCAAGCCCCGCCTCCCAGGTTCACGCCATTCTCCTGCCTCAGCCTCCCAAGTAGCTGGGACTACCGGTGCCCGCCACCACACCTGGCTGTTTTTTTTTTTGGTATTTTTAGTGGAGACAGGGTTTCACCGTGTTAGCCAGGATGGTCTTGATCTCATGACCTCGTGATCCGCCCGCCTCAGCCTCCCAAAGTTCCGGGATTACAGGCGTGAGCCACCGTGCCCGGCAACTGAATATTTCTTTTCAAACTACAAAGACACTCTCTCCAGCCTTGCCCTGAATTTGTACTCTCCTAATTGAAAATCACTACTTTAGAGATTGCTTAAAAATTAATTCTTACCTTTTTCATTGAGTCAGAAAACTTCTGTCTCTTAATTTTATTCTTTGGAAAATGACAAAACTCATTATATTAACACAAAAAGGAAACTAAGACGCAGCCATAAAAAAGGATGAGTTCATGTCCTTTGTAGGGATATGGATGAATCTGGAAACCATCATTCTCAGTAAACTATTGCAAGGACAAAAAATCAAACACCGCATGTTCTCACTCATAGGTGGGAATTGAACAATGAGAACACCTGGACACAGGAAGGGGAACATCACACACCGGGGCCTGTCATAGGGTGGGGGAAGGGGGGAGGGATAGCATTAGGCGATATACCTAATGTAAATGACGAGTTAATGGGTACAGCACACCAACATGGCGTATGTATACATATGTAACAAACCTGCACGTTGTGCACATGTACCCTAGAACTTAAAAGTATAATAAAAAAAAAAAAAAGGAAACTAAGACAATATCAGTGGTGAATTTGCTAACATTTTTGAAGACAGAATGGTAATTACATTCGATAAGCCTAAACAGGATCAGTGATTTGGGAGAAATCTAAAAAACTCCAATCAATCAAAAAAACTCCAGGAAGGTGATGCATGGAAATATGTTTTTTTTTATAACATTAATTTGCTTGTTCCTATTTCAATAAGGTAAAAGCTGAATTTCATCATTTTATTCTTTGTAATCAATTTATTTGTTGAAGTATAACACACTGCAAAATATCACACAGCTTGACACATTTTTCTATATACATATACTGGTAAAACCATTACAGATCAAGATATAGACCATTCCCATTACTCTAGGATCCCTTCCACCTCTTCTGTTAATACCCCTCCTTCAATAAGTAGCCACAGTTTTGATTTCTGCCAGTATAAGTTAATTTTGCCTGTTCTTAAATTTTACACAGATAGAGCTATATAGCATGTACTCTTTGTGGCTGGCTTCTTTTTCTGCACACAATGCCTATGAGACCATAACTAAAGTCAAATTCCATGGTCACTAACCAATAATGGCATCTCAAAGAAATTCCAACCTAGAGAAATTCTGATGATGTGGTTAGAACACCAATCAGGACACTCACTTCATGGTTGATAATTCCCGACATGCACTGATTCAGACCCAGCTTATTGAATTCATTGAGTCCACAGGCCAGCACTTTGCCTGACTGGGTCAACAGAAATGTCCCATCACAGCCACATTGAACTGCAACAATAATCAAGGCCTTGGGAACATCCACCTGCAAGAAAAAAATCAGAAAAAGAAATCCCAAATATATAATTCGTATTAGAAAAAAAGCTCTCAAATTCTTTCAAAAGAGACATGCTGCATTTAGCAGAATGACTACAGGAAAGTGAGGACTGCTCTATTCTTTTCAGGTTTGCCCAGTGTCTTAGAGACTACTTTTTCTTTTTTTTTTTTTTTGAGATAGAGTTTCCCTCTTTTGCCCAGGCTGGAGTGAAGTCGTGCGATCTTAGCTCACCGCAATCTCTGCCTCCCAGGTTCAAGCGACTTCTCCTGTCTCAGCCTCCCAAATAGCTGGGATGACAGGTGCATGCCACCACGCCCAGCTAATTTTTGTATTTTTATTAGAGATGAGGTTTTGCCACGTAGGCCAGGCTGGTCTCGAACTCCTGACCTCAGGTGATCTACCCACCTTGGCCTCCCAAAGTGCTGGGATTACAGGTGTGAGCCATCACGCCTGGCTGAGACTACTATTTTCTTTTCTTCTTTTTTTTTTTGAGGTGGAGTCTTGCTCTGTCGCCCAGGCTGGAATGCAGTGGTATGATCTCAGCACACTGCAACCTCTGCCTCCCAGGTTCAAAGCGATTCTCCTGCCTCAGCCTCTTGAGTAGCTGGGATTAAAGGCGTGTGCCACCATGCCCAGTTAATTTTTGTGTTTTTAGTAGAGACAGGGTTTCACCATGTTGGCCAGGCTGGTCTCGAACTCCTGACCTCAAGTGATTTGCCCGCCTCGGCCTCCCAAAGTGCTGGGATTACAGGCGTGAGCCATTGTGCTCGGTCAAGGCTACTGTTGTCAACGAAGAGCTCAAGTTTTACAATATCAAAGAAAAGGTGACAGTTCCAGGTCAACTAAACAAGACAGCACCCTCTCAGTTTGTCTTAGTAATAGGTCCTACTTAGGGTGACCTGTCAAAAAGTTGAGAAAGAAGCTTCAATTCATTGCTGATTTTGTCCTTTGAGATGGAAGGCTGCTTGACAGTTACAGAAATTCAGTAGCCCTGTGGGGTCCCAATCTGGTCATTTTATAGGAGAGGTGACAGAGTACTGAGGTAATATCTAGGACTTCCAAATGCTCATATCTTTTTACAGCTAACTAGACAGGACTGGAGAAGGTGGGGTGATGCATGTGTGGGGTCACAATGGATGTGTGTAAAACCTGAAACCTCAACCCTCAGTTTCTGCCACAGCCTTTCCAGGAGAAAAGGAACAGCTGGGAATCCCATTGAGGATGGTCCCTAGAAATGCATAATAATTTAATTTTTAAAATATAAATAAAAACTGGTTTGGCTAAAAGTTCCCAAGGAAAGAAAAAAAAAAAAGAAAACAGAAAACCCAAAACACTGCTAACAATAAATGGTATAGCTGATTTAGCCAACCCTCCAATGGGTAAGCCTGTGCCCTAGGGTAGGTGGGAGAGATGTGACTGTGCTTTTCCCCCAGCTGGTATCAGCCTCTGTGAGCCTCTCACAGGGCCAGCTCTGGCAAGGCTGAGAGTAATTAGATAATATGTTTCATGCAACATGACCGCTAAACAAAAACAACTATTAATATTTCATCTGGTGGTCAACTGTAGAAACAGGAGAGGAAAATGGCTGTGTTGGGTTAAGAGACAGTATACTGCTTTACAGTATCTTCTCGAGTTTTCCAGGGTATTTGTAGCTATATGTGACTTTTCTGCTGTACACGCTGATTTTAGCTGTCATCCCTGAGTAAGATGTGACTTCACAATGTCCACAGTCGCTGTATCCACTTTCTCAATTTTCTGTGATTTGGTCAGATGACAAGACCACAGGGTGCTAAATCAGGAATCCTAAATTGTCAGTCTCCCAAACAGGAAACACTTCGGAAATAAATACCTTGATACAACAGAGCCAAGGAAAGAGGACATATTATTGGAGTCTGTGCGACTTAAGATAGGTTTTAGAAATAAGTTGCTTCTGATTTTACCTTTTGTGGTGTATAATAATCCTCTTCTGAATCCAAACCCAGTCGTCCTGAAACACACATAAGAATGAAAATCATTATAATGAGGGCTTCCTTCCCAGTGAATAGGTTCTGTAAGATTCTCTTTTGCCAGGTGCGGTGGCTCACACCTGTAATCCCAGCACTTTGGGAGGCCGAGGCAGGTGGATCATGAGGTCAGAAGTTCGAGCGAGACAAGCCTGGCCAGTGTGGTGAAACCCCATCTCTACTAAAAATACAAAAAATTAGCTGGGTGTGATGGTGTGTGCCTGTAATCCCAGCTACTCGGGAGGCTGAGGCAGGAGAATCACTCGAACTCGGGAGGTGGTGGTTGCAATGAGCCCAGATCATGCCATTGCACTCCAGCCTGGGTGACAGAGAGAGACTCTGTCTCGAGAAAAAAAAAAAAAAAAAAAAAAAAGATTTACTGAATTAACACTTCTCATTTAGGGGCTGCATGATGGGTTTAGATGCATACAACTTTGAAGTCAGGTTGTATACCTGTGAAGAAGTGGACAGAGACAAGGCTACCCCTACCATATTCGCCACAGCCCCAAGAATAGACTTCCTTGTTTCGTGTCAGAACCACCACATGATTATCTCCACAGGAGACCTGCTCCACTGGATTGCTGAGGAAGAAGTTCAGCTGCATGGGTTCTAGCACTTCAGGGCCAGCAACTTTGTCCACCCCCATGCAGCCATAATAATCTGATCCGAAGGCATAGAGCTGACCCTCATCTGCAAAAGAAAGGAAAACAGAATCCATCAAAGGACTGACTTATTTTATCTAATCAGAAAGTTGGGCAGGGCTGGAATGAGGACTACCCCAGCAAATGATCTCACATGAATTGATTATATCCAAGAAATTAAAAGGACAGACTGTGCAAGTCTAGAGTTCTATGTCAGAGAGTCATGTGTACTACTACTACTATATTAAACAATTTAAAAAGTGGTAGCATTATCACATTAAAAGGACTTAAAATTTTAATGGGGCCATCTTTGTTATATAGATAAAAAAATAAGTCCCAAGGAATCATTAACTAAGTAATGACAAGACCAAAACTAAACTTAGGTCTTGATCCTAATTTTGTGTTATTCATAGCCTGATGAGGTGGTAAGATTATTTTTCCTGCCAACCACGACACACATTTTCTCCTGATCCCACCTCTTCTCTGTTACCCACCTGTCTTCTCCTTGCTCACCACCCCCTAATACTATAGCAAATTTGGTATGTTATTATTAATGAGTATATTTGCTCAAGGTCCTCTGGTTCTTTGTATACTGTCTTTTGTTTTAAAATCCCAACTAAGATTGCACAGCATTAAGCAAAATACCCCCACATTAAATGCACTTAAGACACTTTCTGCTGATGGCTTACCAGTCACACAGACAGTGAAATCATCACCACATGACACCTGACGGATAGCTTTGCCTTGCAACTTTTCCACATGCTTTGGCTGTCGATAGGAGGCTTTGTCTCCATGGCCCAGCTGACCATGGAGTTTAGTGCCTCCTTGCATGTTCTGTGAAATAAAGAGGTCTTATGACTTTTTTTTTTAATTACATTTTATTAAACTTAAATTTTAAAGAGATGGGTTCTCGCTATGTTGCCCAAGCTGGTCTTGAACTCCTGGGCTCAAGTGATCCTCCTGCCTCGGCTTCCCAAAGTGCTGGGATTGTAGACATGAACCACCATCCCCGGCTGAGAGGTCTTATGAAGTTTTAATTTTTCATGCCAAAAGCTGATCTTTAATGGAACTTCATATGAAGAAAAACAGTAGAAAAAAAGAGCTAGAAATTTAGAAATTAGAAAAAAATGGGCAAAGGGATTAAACATTTTAATAGCAAGTAGTATACAGATCCTGCCAACAGGTAAAGAAAACTTAAAAAGTATCCAGATTAATATCCATTAATCTAATCTTTGTCCTTCAAGTCTAAGGTAAACTATATATTTAATTACAGGTGATGGTGAAAAAAATTCTTTATAATATAGTCTAACTTTGTTGCTTTCTACAGGAATATAGCTTCTTGAAAATCTGTACTAGAAGTTTCATAAATTTTGGTCACAGTTTCCCTGAAACATGGAAGAGTTATAAAGAATCTGGCTACATCAAAGAGGCTGCTATACAGCAATGAGACTAGTCCTTGATGACTTTTCAACTTTTTTTTTTTTTTTTGAGACAGAGTTTCGCTCTTGTCACCCAGGCTGGAGCGCAGTGGCTCGATCTCAGCTCACTGCAAGCTCTGCCTCCTGGGTTCAAGCGATTCTCCTGCCTCAGCCTCCCAAGTAGCAGGGATTACAGGTGCCCGCCACCACGCCTGGCTAATTTTTTGTATGTTTAGTAAAGATGGGGTTTTGCCATGTTGGCCAGGCTGGTCTCGAACTCCTGACCTCAGGTGATCCACTCGCCTCGGCCTCCCAAAGTTTTGAGATTACAGGTGTAAGCCACCATGTCTGGCCTTTTCAACAGTTTTATAGAGAAAAATAATTCTATTAAATGAGTATACTACAAGTCCTCATATTTTATATATATATGTGTGTGCGTGTGCGTGTGTGTGTGTGTGTGTGTGTGTGTGTGTGACAGTATATATATATATTTTTTTTTTTGAGACAAGGTCTTGCTCTGTCACTCAGGCTGCAGTGCAGTGGTGCAATCTTGGTTCATTGCAATCTCCACCTCCCAGGCTCAAGTGATTCTCATGCCTCAGCCTCCTGAGTAGCTGGAATCACAGGCATGCGCCACCACTCTCAGCTAACTTTTGTATTTTTAGTAGAGATGGGGTTTTGTCATGTTTGCCAGGCTGGTCTCAAACTCCTGGCCTCAAACAATCCACTCGCCTTGGCCTCCCGAAGTGCTGAGACTTCAGTTGTGAGCCACTACGCCCAGCCAATAAATGTTTAAGATACTAATTTCTCTCCAGCAGCCTGAAATGAGCCTGAGAACGCATAGCAAGAGACAGGAGGAAAGCCAAGAGAACATGCTATCACAGAAGGCAAGTAAAGACAAAGCTTCAAGAAGGAGGGAGTGGTCAACTATGTCAAATGCTGCCGAGAGGTCAAGCTAGGTAAGGACTAAAAAGCATCTGTTTTATTTTAGCAATTTATGGGTCATTTTGTCAAGACTAGTTTCAATTGAGTGGCAGTGGCAGAGATGGAAGCTGCATTGTAGGTGAATGAAGAGAGAGTGGGAGATAAGGAAACAGACAGCAAACACAGACAATTTGTTAAGGAAGGTGAGAGGGGAGAATCTAGAGGGCAACAAACAAATTCTACACAAAATATACCTAGCCATCTTCAATCACTGCTGTGGGCTTCAGGGGTTTCCTGACATGGTATAGTCCTTCCTTTGTTTACAAAGCTATTTCACAGGTAATAGTTGCTCTGAACCTCATGGTAATATAACAGAGTAATTGAGTGACTTGTCTGAAATCATCCAGCTGTAAATGGGAAACCCCAGTCTCCTGAGTCTTTCAATTTTTCTCTCCCTCTCTCATTCATTCATTCAAAAAACATTTATAGGTGACCTAATATGTACCAGCCCTGGGCATACATCAGTGAACTAAACAGACAAAATCCCTGCTCTTATAAGAGCTTCCATTCCATCACCCCATGTTGCCACTCCCTTAGTATAGGTTCAACTAATAAAATGCTTAGACATCGTGGGCCCAGTAAACAATTAGGCTTACAGCACTGTTCCAAAATGCTTAGCGTTCACTTACCACCCAAGTGTACAGTTCCTTCTCCACTGTGACCACAGCAAAGTGGGTATTCCCTGCACAGACCTGCCGGGCACTACAGCCACTCTTGATAACATCCAGTTTCTGGGGGGTGGATTTTCCACCACCCCAAACATAGACTTCACTGGTTCGTGATGTTACTACAGCAATGGGTGCTTCAGTCACAGTGCTTGACCTGCCAACAACCCCCAGAACAAAGGAACATTTAACATTAAAAACAATATCAAAGAAAAATGCTTCCAGTCTGTTCCCTGAGAAGAACTGCCAATTATGGTATGAGAAAGTATGTTCTTTCTCGACAACTTGTTTCAATGTGCTCTATCACAGCAGACTTTGCAATTCCTGCCTCAGGGCTTCATCACAGCTTGGCCAGATCAGATTCCAGTCTGACCCATAACACCTACACTTTTCCACATTCATCATGGTAATGATGGCCACTTTAGTGTGAGGGTGAAATTATAGCTTTCTTCTTAGAAATGACTGTCTGACATTTAAGCAGATGCTGGCTCCTGAAAGGATGCCAAAGTATCCTCGGATCAAATAATGCCTACACTCAAGAAAGAACCCCCTGGTTGTAATTTCGGATATATTAGTTTTTAAGAGTCTCTTGAACATTACCTTGGTCTCTTTGTAGGTGCATTAAGCAGAGTGACTTTTTCCTCCATCTCTCTACCAAAAGAAAAGCAAAGATACATGAGTGAAATAATAGGTTTTTATATTGCAAAGGTGTCTGTTTAATACATTTCACAGATTTAATCCTCTTATAAACTGTATGCATCCTACAACATCACAATACTTTTAGCAAAGTACCTCAATACAACTCAAAACAGTTATATAGTCCTTTCATTAGACAATTCATTAAATACCCAAAGGCCAGCAGTTTGGGGCCATTTGCTTTCTGTCTCTGAGAAATGGTCCAGGCTGGAACAGAGAGCCTTGAGAACCTCTGATGTACATATTTAGTATCTGATGGACACCTTCATCTAGTCTGCCCACTGACTCCCAAACTCAGTATCTCCAAATATGAGCTTGTTAGCTTTTTCCCAAATGAGCTTTTCTTTCTGACTCCTCTATTTCTGTAACTAGCCGCAACACCCTTCCCCAATTCTCCCAGTCAACTGGGCTTAAAACCTCAGTCATCTCTGATTCATCTCTCTCCCTTTCTTTAATATTCAGGTTCTACAGATTCTACCTATATAGTACTTTTTGTACTCACCTCTTCCTTTCCAGTCTCACCACCTTAGTTCTGGGTAGCTCTACTTCCCACCTGTACTGTGATAATACCTCCTAATCAGCCTCACTTACTACAGTCTTAATCATTTTACTATACTAATTTAACACAGATACTAATATTGCCAAATAACTCTTCCTTAGGTATGCCTCTCATCACGTGAACTGCCCTCTCGCAAACATCCACCATCTCTCAACAGTGGATGTGATACCCACTCTATCTTTTGCACTACCTCTTGAATTAACCACAATTTTCTTGGCCTGGCATGCAAGATTTCCTACCTATTTTTCCAGACTTCCTTCCTTTTGTTTGCACCCCACGTTCTAGCCCAGGGCTGTCATCCTACCTAAATCAATTATAGCTGAGCTCCTAGAGTAGTGCTCAGGCATCAGTACTTTTTGAAAGCTCCTGATATTTTGCATCAAAAATCCCAGGTCTAGAACCACTAATCTAGCCAAATAGAATTTTGTGTTTCCTGAATATTTTCCACAACTTCCTGTGTCTATGATTTTGTTTATGCTATATTCTCTGTCTGGAAAACTCTGTCTTATGTTTTCCATCAAAGTACAAAGTTCCAACAAAGTATTGCAGGCAAATCTATAATTATCTCAGTAAAAATTTCATGCCTACACTCAAGAAATAAGAGATTAAAATAGTGACTTAAAATAGTGATTATGCCGTGTGTGGTGGCTCATGCCTGTAATCCCAGTACTTTGGGAGGCCGATGCAGGCAGATCACCTGAGGTCAGGAGTTCGAGACTAGCCTGGCCAACGTAGTAAAACCTTGTCTCTACTAAAAATACAAAAACTAGCCAGGCGTGGTGGCGCCTGCCTGTAGTCCCAGCTACCCGAGAGGCTAAGGCAGGAGAACTGCTTAAACCTGGCAGGTGGAGGTTACAGTGAGCTGAGACTACGCCACTGCACTCCAGCCTGGGCAACAGAGTGAGACTCTCATAAAGTAAATAAAAGTAAATAAAATAAAATAAAATAAATCATTATATTGCTGTGAAATAAGCCAGACAAAAATTTTAAATATGCTTCACCAGACCAAAAGGGTGATACTGCCTGCACGTGCACAAAACATAAATGGAAGGTCATGGTGCTGTATCTGGAGTACTGTACATAATTTCAGGCACTAAAACACTGGCTACAGACCAACTAGAGAAGAACCAGAAAAGATTAATTAAATGGCATAGTAGAATAAAAGTACTGATGAAACAGCAAATATGCAATTAGGGATGTACAGAATGTATCCAAGAGCAAGACTTGAAAAGAGCATTGTATGTGAATATTTGGAAGATATAAAAACAAAAAACTGGTAGTGGAGGAAGAAGCGTAGCAAGGCAAAAATAGTGTAATAGGATGAAATACAGACTCAAATATTTAACGAAGATAAATGTTTTAAATTAAGGTATGAAACCTCCTAGAGGAACAGAGGGATAAAGGATGTTCTTCCTATCTCTAAAGATATCTGACAGAATAATCTCAGGAAATAACCTCTGAGGAGTCAATAAAACTCGACTTCAAATATGGGCAAAATGTACCTGAAGAGGATTCCTCCAACTCCAACCTACCACCTAAACAAATGCAGTGAAAAACAAAGGCTCAGGCTGGGCATAGTGTCTCATGCCTGTAATCCCAACACTTTGGGAGGCTGAGGCAGGAGGATTGCTTAGGCAACAGCTTTGAGATCAGCCTGGGCAACACAGTGAGACCCCGTCTCTATAAAAATAGAAAAATTAGCCAGGCATGATGGTGCACACCTGTAGTCCTAGCTACCTGGGAGGCTGAGGTGTGAGAATCACTTGCAGCAGAAGTTCAAGGCTGCAGTGAGCTAGGACTGTGCCACTGCACTCTAGCCTGGGTGACAGAGTGAGACTCTGTCTCAGAAAACAAACAAAAAACAAAAAAACCAAAGGACCAGTCCAACTCACACTACAATTGATAGGCACCCTATGCCAGGCCCTGGGCTGACCACTTTTTATGCGTTATCTTCTTTAATCCTGACCTCATCTTACTTTATAGAGGAGAAAGCCAAGAAATAACGATGTTAAATAACTTGACAAAGATAATGACAAAATTCAGATACAAACATAAGGATGTCTGAGTCCAGACACCCCTCTTCCTTACTGCACTCTAATGCCTCAACTCTAAGGTTTAAAACCAATGGGTTGGGGAGTGAAGGGCTCTTGGGCCTCATTAGTACAAATTTACAACAAAACAGCACAGGCTAAGGAGGCAAAAGTCAGATGCCACCCCTAAGCAATAAAAGCAGGGATGTTGGTAGAAAATAGCACTATTGCAACCAAGTCAGGAAACACTACTCTTTCTTTTAGTACTCTGATCAAGCCTCTAAAAGTCAACTATCTCAGAAAAGACAATGGAGTGACTTCTTCATAATTTACCTCCTGCGTTTCCTGAGAAGAGGGCGATCTAGAAGTTCATCTGCAGTAGGTCTCTGCTCAGGATCCTAAAAAGTAAAAATAGGGTTAGTTTTCACTTAATGGAAATGGGCGACATCGGATCTAAAGATGTTAATTAGTCAAAGACCACTGCATTATCCTTTTGTTTTAAAAATCATTTCTTATGTGATACTCCATATTTTATGCTTCTCACCTCATTATAATCAACACTTGTACATGAAGGAGAATGTTTATAATGCATCTTCCTCACTTGTTCAGTTAGGGCAGTGGCTCTTGAACCTCAATATATACAGAACAGAAGAATTACCTGAGGTGTTTGTTACAAATAAAGATTTCTGGGCTTTATCCACAGAGATTCTGATTGAGTTCGTCTGGGGTGGGGCCCAGGAATCTTCTTTTTACTTACAAAACTCCCCCATTCCCTGGTGATTCTGACTCCAGTGTTTCATGAAACATACTTTGAATAATACTAGAACTACACAGCAAGGGAACCATGAGATATGAGAAATACAGACATTCTGTATTAGAAGTGGTAAATTATCTTTCATTGCAGTTTTTTGAAATCTATATTCAGAAATTACTCTTGGTCATAAAAAATCGAGCACAATTTAGATGGGAAATTCATTTCACAAACTAACACTTACAAAACAGAATGAAGTAAGAATTTGTTCACTGAAGCACACAACTATAATGAATTACCAATACCTATTCTGGGTATAGCCACAAATACACTCTACCCTGGGGAAGTGGATGTGGTTTTGTATGGTTTATAGCTATGCCATACACCAAACACTGAGGCTGGAAGGGGAAATACGAAACTGAAGTGAATGTTTAAGTCACACCTACCTGGTCAAGGCACGAATGAACCATTTGGATCAATTCCAAAGAGTACTGGCTAGAGTCAACTTCCATGGCCCGAATTCCTTGCACGATCTTCACACACAGGTTAAGTGGGTTCTATGAGAAAATGATGACTGCATTGTTCCTGGTTATATAAAGATGATGCTATACTCTACTGGTAGGGGCTCTCAGGTGTCTGTGACCATTATTTAAAGAATTGGCAATAGGTCTGACTTCTTGTTATAACTACTAGTATGCATCAAAAAAAAATGGTTAGGGATGCACTGATGCTATCAGACAGAATGAAGCCAACTGGCCATACAATCTATAACTATGTGGCCAATAATATGATGCTCAGAGTATATTATAATCTGACCTTTCAACTGAATCCCAAGAAAAAGGAAAGCAAGATTAGCCATCCTTGTTGGCTTCATGTAGTTCCCTTGCCAACTAACTTGCGTCCTAATTTATATATCCTAATTGTGGCTGTACAGGCAATACTCTGCTGCAACAGATAAGGCAGTAATAATAATAAGATGATAATACTAACAATATTATGGTAATACCACCACCACATTATTGAGAGACTACTACAAACTAGACAGGCACATTACATATATGATATTTTTTAGCCTCACTAACACCATTCAAGGAAATTATTATCATTATCAATTTATATATGAGAAAAATGGGGCTCAGAGATGTAAAGTAACTTGCCCAAAATCACAGATAGTAAAAATGGAGCTATAATTCCAACCAAAGCCTGACTCCAAGTCATATACATATATACACATATATACACACATACATATACACACACATATATGTGTATATATGTATATGTGCATGTGTACATGTACACACACGTGTGTGCACATATATACACGTGTGTGTACATATATGCACACGTGTGTGCGTACACACACACACATTTCTTAAGACAGAGTCTCACTCTGTCACCCAGGCTGGAGTGCAGTGACACGATCTCCACTCACTACAACCTCTGTCTCCTGGGTTCAAGTGATGCTTGTGCCTCAGCCTCCTGAGTAGCTGGGATTACGGGCATGCGCCACCATGCCTGGATAATTTTTGTATTTTTTAGTAGAGACAGGGTTTCACCATGTTGGCCAGGCTGGTCTCGAACTCCTGACCTCAGGTGATCTGTCCGCCTCAGCCTCCCAAAGTGCTGGGATCACAGGCATGAGCCACCGCGCCCAGCCTCTGACTCCAAGTCATTTTTCTTCCACCATACTATTTAGGAGAATTAGATGATATACTAGAACAACCTTCAGGATTTAGAAAAATGAATAGGTCTTATGAAAGGGCAATGAATTTGCATTATCTTACATTTGCATTTTTCATATACATTATGAGAGAATCTCCGTGTGGGGAATATATATTGTTACCATGTTATAGATAATGAAACAGAGGATCAAAGAGATGAAGTGATTTGCCTAAATTCTCACACCTGGTTGGTAGAGGCAACTGGATATGAATCCACTTTAGCCCCTCAGTGTGCTCCATGGACCAGCAGCATCAGCATCACTTGGGAGCTTGTTAGAAACACAGACTATCAACCCCACCCCCCAAAAAAATCTGCATTTCA
Source organism: Homo sapiens (assembly GCF_000001405.40). Lineage (NCBI taxonomy): Eukaryota > Metazoa > Chordata > Mammalia > Primates > Hominidae > Homo > Homo sapiens. The sequence continues at coordinate 75,115,803 of NC_000014.9, forward strand.
ACAAGATGATTTTGTATGCATATTAAAGTTTGAGAAGCACTGCTTTATATCAGGTTGTACTTTAATTTACTTAAAAAAAGAAAAAAAGACTTAAAGGGATTCATTGTCCATAAAGCAATGACAATCTTTATTTATTTTTTAACAGATAAACATTTTTTTCCTAGTTAATGAATATTTTTAACACCCACGATGTGTTAGGTATTGCAGAAAATAAAGCAAACATTTGGAAGGGTTTTAGACTACCTGGCAAAACCACAGCTATATAAAAAAAGTAAGTACAATAAAGTGATACTGGTGCTATGTCAGAAGTGTTTACAAGATAGAATAAAGGCACAAAGAAGTAACAATTTAGAAAAAGGCATAAATATGCTGGGCATGGGGGCTCATACCTGTAATCCTAGCACAGGCCAAGGCAGGAGGATCACTTGAGGCCAGGATTTTGAAACAAGCTTGGGTAACATAGTGAGAACCCATCTCTACAAAAAATAGCCAGGTGTGGTGAGGCATGCCTGTAGTTCGAACTACTCAGGAGACTGAGGCGGGATGACTGCTGGAGCACAGGAGTTTGAGACTGCAGTGAGCTATGATCACGACACTGCACTCCAGGCCTGGGCAACAGAGTGAGACCCAAATAAAACAATTATCTTTTGCTCCCTTCCATTCTGTTCACTAGATTTGCATTCTTTTACACGTTTCTAGGAAAGTGATGCAGTAGCTGCATGATCATCTGGCTGCTGTTAATAATGTTCCAATTCCTACTGCTTGAAAAAGTGAACCATCATATTCCATTTTTTGCTTTTAAGAGATGAACTTTTAAATTTAATTTAATTTTAATTTTTTTTTGAGACAGGGTCTTGCTCTGTTGCCCAGGCTGGAGTACAGTGGTGCGATCTTGGCTTACTGCAGTCTCCACTTCCCGGGTTCAAGTGATCATTTCAACAGGGAATTCAAGTTGGAGATTTTTTTGAGACAGAGTCTTGCTCTGTTGCCCAGGCTGGAGTGCAGTGGCATGATCTTGGCTCACTGCAACCTCCACCTCCTGGGTTCAAGCAATTTTTGTGCCTCAGCCTCTCAAATAGCTGGGATTACAGGTGTGCGCCACCACACCCGGCTGAGTTTTGTATTTCTAATGGAGACGGGGTTTCACCATGTTGGCCGGGGTGACCTCAAGTGATCCACCCACCTCGGCCTCCCAAAATGCTGGGATTACAGGCGTGAGCCACTGCGCCTGGCTGGGTCTATAGCATTTTAGTAATAGATTACTAATCTTGTACCTGAATACAGGTTATTTTTGCCAGAAATCAGAAGCCTGGGAATAGAGTTGATCTGCTTAGTCAAGCTGTACCATTTGCAACCTGCTAAATGCAATATGGGGATAATATGCCAACTTACTGTAGCATCAAACGTCCTCTTTAAGGTAAGCAGTTCAAAAATGACGCAGCCAACTGCCCAGATATCAGACTTGAAATTGTACTTTACTCCTTGACAGAGCTCTGGAGACATGTAATATGGGGTTCCCACAAGCTGAGCAACAAAGAAACAATCAAAGAATAACTTCTTTTCTGAGGTAACTATGTTAACATTTCAACAGCTTAATTAAATTTCCTAGGAACTAGTCATAACAACCATAAAACATTCATCAGCAGATTCCAAAATGGTTTTTATGAGACGATGCCACTATGGAAAGAAATCTTATTCATATCAAACCTCTTGGGTCAATTATAAAGGGACAATCTCTGTGACAAAGGAACTGTGGTAACTTGAGGGGCTCAATAGCTCTGTGATTCCTAGATCACAGAGGCTTCAGGCATTCAAGGCCTACTGAAGACTTTACACAAACTTAAAGACATACTTAGTAGAAGTTCACCAATGGGAAAAAAATCCAAACACTGGCAGTGGGGAGATGGTAACTCAATGAAGGAATTAGATGTTCTAACTAAAATACGCGCAATGAAACTTTTAAAATGCCCAATTTGGCATCTGTTATACTAACACAGCTAGCGAATTTCCTTTGAATTTGAAAAAGATTTTCTGACTTCAAAAATAAATTTGGAAATAAAAATGTCCTAAGAAGTCATGCCTCTCCCAAGATGAGATATAATGAATGCCCTAGCAGCTCTAATAAAATTCATAGTCAGCTTTAAGCAGCAAAGCAAAGCAAATTTCAGATGGCTTACATGGCTTTTATAAATTTTCATATCATTCCTTCTTTGCATTTAACTAGCTAAAAAAAGTCAAGTCTTGGTTTTATCAGATTGTTCTTGATGAGAAAAATCCATATAAAGATATGATTGCTTCTTCAGAAGCTCACTTTGGCCTCCATCATAGAAACATCTGAGTCCCTGAAGCAGAGACTCCAAACCCTAAACATCTAAATTGCTTGCAGGCAAACCTTGACATTATTAAAAAAAAAATTATTGGCCAAAATCAGTTTTCAATTTCTTTTAAGGACAGAGCATTGTGAAACTAGAAGAATAACAACTGGGTTTTATAATTCCTAAAAGGATAAGATTACTGTCCTAAAGATCAACTTATGTCTACTCTTTACCAATGATCTTTCTCAAAATCATGTGAGAAGGGACCCCTGTGCAGTTCAGACTGTGTATAATATTAAAGAATGGATTGTTCTCTGAGCATCAGCCTTCACTTGAAATATAGGGTTCTCTTTGAACCAGAAGCATTCAAAGGAAAAACAAAGAGATGTCTAACACCTTGAGCTCAAACATTAAATAAGAGATAAAGTGAAATCTACTAAAGATCCTAACCTGGACAAAACAGTAAAGCATTTTGCTGCTTTTAGATAAGTCCCTAATCAGTGCTGGAAAAAGGCTATGAGGTCAGAGCTGTAACGTGGGCAATGACTTAAATGCCTGCTAGTGGGCCCAGGAAAAAGACTTCTGAAGACATGCATTAAAAGTATGGAGAACTTGCAAGAATATTGAGAAAAGTATGCAAGATTTAGGGAGTACAGTTATATTTCACAGTGCTAGAAAATAAAATAAAAATTAAGACAAGGGCAACACATACCGTCTCAGCCATGGAATACTCAGAATTAAGTTTCTTTGCTAGGCCATAATCTCCAAGTTTTATCAGGTTTGCCTTGGTCAGAAAAATATTTAATGTCTTTATATCTCTGAAAAAAAAAGATGCTGCAAATTAAGTTCACACAGATAATTGTTTTATTTCATCCCCCGCCTTGCCCAGGATTATTACAGAATAAAAATGAGTGTGGGCCGGGTACAGTGGCTCACATCTGTAATCTCAGCACTTTGGGAGGGCAAGGCAGGAGTACTGCTTGAGGCCAGGAGTTCTTCACCAGCCTGGGCAACATGGTGAGACCCCATCTCTACAAAAAATAAATTAGTCAGGAGTGGTGGCATACACTTGTAGTCCTAGCTTCTCGGGAGGTTAAAGCACCGAGAATCAGTTGAGCCCAGGAGGCTGAGGCTGCAGTGAGTCATGATTGCACCACTACATTCCAGCCTGGGCAACAGGGTGAGACCCTGTCTCAAAAACTAAAACAAAATAAAACAAAAAAAGAGTGTTACCATTGCTCATTCATTTAGGATATCCTAAACATCCCACAGTGGTCATCACTTTCACATGCTATTTAACACTGAAGTGGGGACTTTAAAGGAGTGAAGGCAGAGAATTAACTTCATCCTCTAGGGCTTCACAGCATAGAAATATCTCCCATACTACTGAAGCTATTAGGAAAAGTTGAGACGGTCAGATGAGGAAAATGGTGCTCTAGGTAACCATAATTCCCATAAGATACCACACCTCTTCAACTATCACTTATGCCTTGAATTAAGTGATATCAAGGCAACTTTAACAAACTTGGTTGGTGTCAAAGTTTCAAATAATCTGTTAAGGCAAGAGAAGAGGCCTACATGTCCCTGCAATGATATGATTAGGCCATTTAGTCATCTAAATAAAATCACAGGCTATTTTTCTAAAGATAAATTGACCATATGTAAAACAAAATAACTGTGCCTGGTTCACTATGTCTTCCTTTATTGAAAGATGCGAATAAACCAGAACAATATACTTTGTTACTTTTAAAAAGAAAATAACAACATGCAACAGAAGCCATTTAATAGCTATCAAGAAATACATGTTAACTGAATGAACAAACCAATAAAAAAAGAAATCTTAGTGTATTATAATTAATCTCTGGCACCAGTCAATGACTCACTTAAGAAGGGCATAATGATGTGAAAATGTTATTGAGATGCTTCTCTTCTATAGCTAGAAATGAATGCAATCATGCTTGTTTTTAAAGATCTGGTAAATTTGTACAAGTAAATATACAGAGTGAAGAGGCTTTTATTTAAATTAAAAGATCTTAATTATAGAATTAAAAAGAATTGCCAATTATTATTGCTGTGAATTCTTACCAAATACTACTTCTCATAGTGCCCTTCTAGGCTTTACTGATGAATTAACAAACTGAACTCTAAAATTTTTGTCTGTAAAATGACTTCAGTAGTACTTGGCTACTGAGGAGACTCTTCCTAGATCATAAACATGGTTTAACCTCAGGGAGTGAAAATAATATTGCTCATTACTTTCCTTTCCTAGTGATATCAATGGAAAAACTCTTGGCTGCTTAACCAAGAAAATAAAAGTGTTGTTGGGGGGGTATCCACGGTAGGGGCTGAATTGGTAGGGAAGAATCCATCCATAATTTTTTTTACTTCTTACCTATGAAGGATTCCAGCTTTATGGATGCAGCTCACTGCTGAAACAATCTGAAATAGGTACCACACCACCATCTGCAGAGAAAAAATAAATATTTGGATTAGAAACAAAAAGCTCCATTTAAGTAAATACACACACACATAAACAAACAAAACAAAGAAAACTGCAACCAGAAGTTATGATTCAACATGACTTGACATCTCTTCCTTGCAGGTTGAGTAGGCAAAGAAAAGTGAAGGGGTAAAAAACCACAAAAAACAGGTTCCTCATAAAATAGTTCCAATGTCATTATAATATATAGTATGGTAAAGCAGACATGTAGGAAAATTCAGGAAGAATGCAAAGTTATAGAAAACTGGGCATACCAGTACGCAGTAATAGAACCAGGAAAGAAAGCCCACAGAGAATCATGATGTGGAGGTAAAACGTTTAGGAAGCAGCTATAGACAGCTTCCTTGTTAGAGGTTTCCTTTCTCATGAATATCAGAGCCTGGAAGGAGTCTGAACAAAAGGAAAAAAACACTCTTCACTATTGGAAGAGTAAATACAGAACTAGAATGCAAGAATTACAACACTACAATTCTAACTTCCTTCCACAGAAATATGAATTACCTCTTCCTCAAACAACTTGTCCTTCTGACGAAGGATTTTGTCATACAGGTTCCCTCCTGCAATTAAACAAGACACAGATTTGAATTGCTTAATACAGATCAAAGCTTGGCTCCTGTAACAGGTTTTTTTAGGTGACACAAGGAAATGAAGGATTCTGCTTTCTCTCCATAGGCAACTACTTCTTTTGACTTTTCACATGGGCACAAAACTCTTCCCATCTCTCAAGGACCGCATCAGAAATATTCTTCAAAGATCTCCCTCTCTAACACAAGAGGCGTAATTAAAAAAAAGACATTTTTAGAAAAGATGTGAGTAAAGACCATTCTTGTTGTTCCCAACAAGTGAAGTATATTCAAAATCAGATTTCTTTTCTAGAACTCTCCTTTAAGGACTCTACAATATTTTTGTAACAACTCTCCCAGTTGTGACTACTATAACATCTGGATTAGGCTGGGCACATTGGCTCACGCCTATAATCCCAGCACTTTGGGAGGCTGAGGTGGGCAAATCATTTGGGTTTGGGAATTTAAGACCAGCCTGGGCAACACGGCAAAACCCTTGTCTCTACCAAAAATACAAAAAGTTAGCCAGCTGTTGGGGCATGTGCCTGTGGTCCCAGCTAATCAGGAGGCTAAGGTGGGAGGGTCGCCTGAGCGTGGGAGGATCGCCTGAGCCTGGGAGGCGGAGGTTGCAGTGAGCTGGGATCGCACCACTGCACTCCAGGCTGGGTGACAGTGAGAGTCTATCTCAGGAAAAAAAGAAAAAAATTGGGTTACACCTGTGATGCAATGTTTTGTATTTATAGGGTATATATTGACAAATTTTCTACTTCACACCGAAATATTTCCCAAAATTTAGGGTCTACCCCTAGACTGTTTCCTATCATTACTCTCTTTACTAATTTCTTCCTGTGGAATAAGTGTGAATTTACTTCTCTCTTTCCTTTACCAAGTAATACAGACTGCAAGTAATCATGGTTCATCTTACATCCCACCTGCAACTATAACTTACACTTTAGCCCTGGGTAAGTTTTTACAACTTCTTTTCCCCTGCAACTTAATAACTCAGTTTCAATAAATGTATCATTTGTTCCAGTTCTTCCTAACCACAAAAGAAGTTAACTACCTAGGGCTTCTGCTACTTCGAAAATTTTTAACAGAATCTTGTATATGGCATTGATCACCAATGATCATAATATACAAGAGTTTACACAAGGAAGTCGTAAGTGACGAATATGCTGGGACCTCTTTAGCATGCAGTTCAGAAAAGGGCTTTGGAGGTTCTCCTGTGCAATAAGATGATTAACAGCTAGTACAGTATGTAGCAAACACTTTCTACCTACCAAGCACTATGCATGTAATACAACAATCCTAGAAAGTAGGTACTGTTATCAACAAACTTTTTTTTTTTGAGATGGAGTCTCGCTCTGTCACCAGGCTGCAGTGGCATGATCTCCACTCACTGCAACCTCCAACTCCCTGGTTCAAGCGATTCTCCTGCCTCAGCCTCCCGAGTAGCTGGGATTACAGGCACGCGCCACCATGCACAGCTAATTTTTGTTATTTTTAGTAGAGACTGGGTTTAACCATGTTGGCCAGGATGGTCTCGATCTCCTGACCTTGTGATCCTCCCAAAGTGTTGGGATTACAGGCGTGAGCCACCACGCCCAGCTTTTTTTTTTTTTTTTTTTTTTTTGAGACAGGGTCTGGCTCCATCGCCCAGGCTGGAGTGCAGCGGTCTGAGCTCACAAGCTCACTGCAACCTCTGCCTCCCAGTCTCAAGCCATCCTCCCTCCTCAGCCTCCCAAGTAGCTGTGACTACAGGTGCACACCACCCAGCTAATTTTTTGTATTTTTGGTAGTGACAGGGTTTCACTATGTTGCCTAGGCTTTCCTCAAACTCCTATGCTCAAGTGATCTGCTTGTCTTGGCTTCTCAAAGCGCTGGGATTACAGGTGTGCACTGTCCCTGGCCAACAAACTCATTTTAAAATGACAAAACTGCTGGGCATGGTGGCTTAAGCCTGTAATCCCAGCACTTTGGGAGGCGGAGGTGGGCGGATCACCTAAGGTCAGGAGTTCGAGACCAGTCTGGCCAACGTGGCAAAACCCTGTCTCTACTAAAAATACAAAAATTAGCTGGGCGTGGTGGCGCATGCCTGTAATCCCAGCTACTTGGGAGGCTGAGGCAGGAGAATTGCTTGAACCCAGGAGGCGGAGGTTGTGGTGAGCCAAGATGGCACCATTGCACTCCAGCCTTTACTCCAACAAGAGTAAAACTCCATCTCAAAAAAAATAATAATAATAATAAAAATAAAATGAGGAAACTGAGGCACAGAGAAGTTAAGTTTCTTGCCAAGGTTATAGAGCTAGAAAGTAGAGAAACTTGGTTTTAGAGTCTATTTTCTTAACAACTAGGCTATATTGCTATCTTACAAGCAAAATGATGTGAAGAAATCAGGGACCAGATAAATAGGGCCATGCTTTACTATATATTACTTTCACTCAGTTATGATCTTTGGACCACTTTTCAATAGGATAGCTTTAGCTGAAGACAATATAAATAAATATCACCTATAAGATCTTATTAAATACTGTATCAAGTGCTGCCAAGCCACACTCTGGTTAACTAATGTCATTTCATAAAGAAAAACCTTGAAAAATAAAGGTAAAATCCAACCAAAGAAAAGATAGTTTGAAAATGGAACTGTAATCACAAGAGAAAATTTGGGTATGCAGGGGAAAATCCCTCTCCTTATTTCGTACACCACTTCAAAAATTCTCCAAGGCCTGAAAAGTTTCTCTTAAACTCTAGAAATTCATTTAAAGTTTTTATCACTGTATATGTCTCTTCTTATATTCTTCTCCTCAACGTAATTATGAGTCTAAGAAAGTCTTGCTGGAAAAGTCCCACTGAACTCTATCTTACCATTACAATATTCCAGCTCAATCAGCAGCGTGGTATTGTCCATGAAGTGATTGTAGTAGGCAATAATGTTGTCGTGCTGCAGCAGTGCCAGAATAACAATCTCATTCAAGGCATCACGACGTTCCTTCTCAGACAGCCGGGTCAAATCGACTTCCTTCCACACAACCAGTGAGTCATCCTAAACACAGTAACAGAGGTATCGTGCTTTTCCTCTTGCCTGGCAGCAAATGAATCCACACCTAGATCTGTAAGCCTAGAAGGAAAACTTCCTAGAGGGGCACAGACTGACTCCTCTTATTTTTTCCTTTTAACAGACTTTAAAGGTTATGTGTACAATTTAGCATTATAATTTATTGCAGGACAGGGGAAGTAAAGCATTAAAACGTTGTTGTCATACTTAATTTGCATGATGTCAGTTCCAGGTAAAAATATGGGCTGGGGATAGATCTCAAAAAGATTCTATTGAGGATACTATGACAGACTGCTAATCATGATGGTGATTATGGCAGGGCAAGAATACTGGAGAAGCAGAGAACTGGGGAGCAATTATCTATAGCTGGTCCCAGCTTCTAAAATGAAAATACTAAACTTGCCTCTAGTTTTATAAATTTAGACTTCCCTAGTGATTTTCACCTACCCTTTCTGGATAAGAGAAGTCATGACCCCTTTTGCAACTCTATAATCTCCTCTCATACTTTTATGTATCCTGTAGCTCCTGATGTCTACTATCTTTTTTTTTTTTTTTTTTTAAGAGATAGGGTCTCACTCTGTTGCCCAAACTAGAGTGCAGTCATAGCTCATTTCAGCTTTGAACTCCTGGGCTGAAGCAATCCTCCCACCTCAGCTTCCCCAGTAGTTGGGACTACAGGCACGCACTGCCACACTCAGCTAAATTTTTTTTTTTTTTTTTTAAGAGATGGGGTATCACTGTGTTGCCCAGGCTGGTCTAGAACTCCTGGCCTCAAGCGACCCGACCACCTTGGCCTCCCAGGTGTTGGGATTATAGGCATGAGCCACTGTGCCTCGCCTCATTCTTTGCTGACCCTGCTTCCTAGCCCAGGAGCATCTCCACCTATGTAACCCTCCCCATCCTTTTGAATGCCTCTGCCAAGCCTTTACAGTGTTTTTGAAAAGACTCTGATGAAGCTTTTACTGTAACCATGTCTTTAATTTTTAGACCCCATACACTGAAATGATATTTGTTCATTCTTTTCATATCTCTACATATGCAACTTAATGCTATTTGTTTACTAACAATGGTCAACTTATTTTCCTACTGAAATATAAGCTTCTAGAGAAAAAGAGTGCTTCTGAACTTTTGTAAATTCACAGATCTAATAAATATTTGGTGATATGGACAACGCTATGCAATTTTTGGGAAGTGTAATCAAATTTAACTCAAAACCAACCCAGTAATCAAGTTCAACAGGATAATAATAAAAAGGCAATGGGCAAGATGTGAGACTTTAGTTCTAGTCCAAGATTTACTTGTAACTTAAGTGAGCAAGTCACTTAAGTATACTGTTTTAGTTTCTCTAACTAAAATATAGAAATAACAATCCTTATCTCCTCTTTCTCATTTTGAGTGCAAAAAAGAAAACAGACTACTAAGAATAACTAACTCTAACATCATACATTAACGTGGCATCAGGATAAAAAAGAACACTTAAAAATATTCTCTTGCAACCACTTCTCTCCTTCTCCATCTTTCAGCCTTAAAAGTATGCTGGCTTGGAACACACACCAGAACTGCAGATGGATTTCCGACGGATGAATCACCTTCAGCAACCCCAGCAAGTTCTCATTAAATGTTTACCCTAAAGTAAGATTTTATGATCAAATCTAGTGTATCGTTAGTTTTTGGAAGTAGAATAATCACTGCAGGGTTTTACACTAGTATATATTAACTTGGGATTCCGTGATCCATGGATCTCTCCAAAGGATGTGCATATGTGCAAATGTGTTGATGGAGGGGGCAAGATTACTTTGCTTAGGTTATCAAAGGGGTCCTTGTGCCCCCCAAATTAAGAACTAATGGCTTAGAATATACCAACAAAGTATTTCCCATGCATAAACCCTGCAAGATAAACACTGATAAAGAACCAACACACAAAGATCTTCCCAATGAGCTTCAAGAAAAGCTTCCAACTGAGTGATCACTGCTGAACTTAAAGATAATGACAAAAATAACGGAGTTGCCACGGGTGTGGGGATTTTGAAGCTATGCCCCTCCTCCTCACCCCGACCTTGGAGAACTATATATACAGCATGAGAGGAAGGAAGTTTTGGCAATACCTCACATTCGTATACCACTTTAATTTACAGAACAGAGCCTTCGTTTGATTCTCAAGATAATCTTAAAAAAAAAAGAAAAAGATGATTTCAAGGTATTATCAGTAAGCCCATTTTACAGATGGGGAAACTAAAGCTCAAGAGACGGTTAGGTGACTTAGGACAATCAAAAATGACTAGTCAAACCAATGATCTAGCCAATTTCTAGTGCCGGTGAGTGGGAAGAGTGGTGAAGACCCTAAGACATATACCCCGTGGGCGCCTAAAGCACTAAGCTCACGACGCTGGGAAAGCGGGGCCGAGAAGGAGGGACTCGGGGCGACCCGACAGCGCCAGACAGGGCGGCCGGCGCCGAGGGCCGCTACCTCGGTGCGGCGGTACAGCGTGGCTTCCCCGAAGGCGCCGCGGCCCAGGACGCGGATGGGGATGTAGTGCAGTTCCTCCTGCTCCGCCGCGCCGCCGCCGGCTCGCGGCCCCTGACTGGCGCTAGGCCCCGGACTCGAGTCCCCGCAACCCCCGGACTCGCTCCCAAAGTCCGAGTTGATGGAATCGCAGTGTCGCTCGTACTCGCCCAGCACCGACATGGCGGCGGCCGCGGGCCTTGGGGACCAGCCTGCGTATGCCCGGAGGCCCTGGCCGCGCTGCGTCCCGCTCGCTTCAGATGCCGGCCCGCGGATCCGTCAGCCCAGCAACCCCGCGAAGCTCGATGGTGGCTCCTGCCCCCCGACCCGGAAACAGTTCTCTGTGTTTCCGGCCTGGCTGAGTTTCCTCCGCCTTTGCTTACCCTCTTGGCTAGTCTAGCGGCCAAGGCTTCCCGCTTTCGGGGAAGGCCTGCAAAGTGAGGCCTCGGGCTAGGGTTGGCGGGCGCGTGGTGGGAACCGCGTGGAACCGAAGGGCTCCCACGGGAACAAGGGCATCACTGACGGTACGGCCTCTCGGGTCTATTGACCCTTCTCTGCCTCCCCGGTCCGGACTCATACAACTTGGAGGCCCAGAGGTCGTCCAGTCTCATCTTGACGTCAGGTCTGTGACAAGAGGGTGATTGGGGAAGCATTCCCAGTGTACACCTTCTTCCCCATTCCAACGTTGGACAGCATTCTTTTTTAGAGAGATAGTATAGTAAAGATAATATGGCCGGGCAAGGTGGCTCACGCCTGTAATCTCAGCATGTTAGGAAGCCGAGGCGGGCGGATCACCTGAGGTCAGGCGTTTGAGACCAGCCTGACCAACTGGTGAAACCCCGTCTCTATAAAATACAAAAATTAGCCAGGCGTGGTGGCAGGCACCTGTAATCCCAGCTACTCCAGAGGCTGAGGCAGGTGAATCACTTGAACCCGGAAGGAGGAGGTTGCAGCGAGCCGAGATCGCGCACTACACTCCAGCCTGGATAACAGAGCGAGACTTTGTCTCAAAAAAAAAAAAAATAATAATAATATAGACAGCCTAAATGTCTGCCTCCGGTCATCTCGGTCCCTGGGCCGAGTTCTTTCTCCCAGGGCCATCCTAAGTCCCTCCCTCTTCTACACAACTCCAAAAATATTTTAAGTCAACTCTCCTGACACTTTCCTTCTCCCCCGTCTCTTTTTCCAGATTCAATTTATTCTATGTGTTTTTCCAGATATTTGACCATATGATATCATGAAACATTCTTTGAGCACTTGGTGCCACACACTGTTTGGGAACAGGAAATCTGCAATAATGTTCTCCCTACCGTCAAGTAGGAAAACAGCAATACGGTGAACAATAGGTGTTCCATCAGTTATGTGACCTTGGGCAATTATGTGACCTTGGGCAACTTCTCATCTCCAAGCTTGTTTTGTTGTGAGAATGTGGTCTACATCACAGACATAACAGCTAACATTTATTGAGTGTTATGTTCTGGGTACTATGCTAAAGGTTTTTTACGTATTATCTCACATTATTATGTATTATCCTATGTATTATGTATTATGTATTATCCTAACATTCCCATTTTACAGAAACAGAGGTACCTAAGTAACCTGCTTAATGTGACAGACCTAGTAAGAGGGAGCTGGGAAGTTGAACCCAGCAATCTGAAAAAGCAGGATGTGATGGGGCTAAGAGAAAGCCATGTGCCTAGCCGGGCGTGGTGGCTCACACTTGTAATCCCAGCACTTTGGGAGGGCCGATCACTTGAAGCCTGGAGTTCGAGTTCAGCCTGGCCAACATGGTGAAACCCCGTGTCCACTAAAAATACAAAAATTAGCCAGGCGTGCACACACCTGTAATCCCAGCTACTTGGGACGCTGAGGCACAAGAATTGCTTGAACTGGGGAGGCGGAGGTTGCGGTGAGCCAAGATCATGCCACTGCACTCGAGCCTGGGCAACAGAGTGAGAACCTGTCTCAAATACATAAAAATACATTGTGTCATATCGATTTGTGAAAAGTTCCTACTTTAAGAGAGCTTACATGTAACAGAAAACCACCAGGCAATTAAAACAGTTTCTATAAGGGCTATTAAAGTGCAAGATTCTAGAGAGGCATTTAGGAGTGGCATCTGTCCAAGCCAAACTTGCTGTGTGAGTGCAGGAATATACAAAATGTTAAGTCTAAACAAAGTAGAGAGATCATTTCAGGTAGAGGCCATTCCATCTACATCCTCCTATTAATTAGAAGGCACTTTGAGGATAGGTATTGCCTCTTGTTTATCTAGATAAACTCCAGAGTTTAGTTTGGCTTAAATCTGTTAATTCTATTAACTTAATTCTGTTATTCTCGATTAACTCTGTTAAACAGAAAAGATGCTCAATAAATTGTTTCTCAGTTGAATGGGAAAAAACCAATTACTTAAAATTGGGAATGCTGACTTTCAAAGAGGCTGAATAGATTTCAGCCTAAGCTTAAAAATTCATTTTTTTCTGGCACCTTTGCAACGAGGAACTAGTTTTCTATAACGTGGTTGGCCTGAAACTGAATTGTTCTAATGATAATGCATAGATACTACAAGCCTAGAAGAAACATGTCCTATTATAGAGCAGAGACATTCCTGCTGAATTCTTCATTATATTGGATATAACTGAAACTAATTGTCTTACCTTTGAATATTTATAAGTTCAAAAATAGTCAACATTTATTCTAATGGTATAACTTTTTTTTTTTTTTTGGAGACAGTCTCACTCTGTCACTCAGGATGGAGTGCAGTGGCATGATCTCAGCACACTGCAGCCTCCACCTCCCAAGTTCAAGTGATTCTCATGCCTCAGTCTCCTGAGTAGCTGGGATTACAAGCGTCCGCCACCATGCCCAGCTAATTTTTGTATTTTTAGTAGAGAGGGCATTCTGCCATGTTGGCCAGGCTGGTTCTCGAACTCCTGACCTCAAGTGATTGGCCTGCTAAAGTGTTGGGATTACAGGTGTGAGCCACTGCACCTGGCCAAGGTGTAAAATTTTAAAGCGCCTTTGGTTGAAACCAAACTATTTCCACATTGTACTTTAACAAGTGAATGGTTAGAATGCTATTTTGCATTAGTTTCCAATTTGTGAATGGCAAATTCCCAGGGGCCATAGAGTTACTGTCAAGATGAAAGAATCTACCAAAGACCAACCCAAGTTTATACCCTTCACTGTCTGCCACGGTAGCCATTAGCTACATATAGCTACTCAACACTTGAATTGTGGCTAGTCTAATTTTAAGCTATAGATGCGGTATAGCTTGAAATGCACACTGGATTTTCAAGATTTTATATGAAAAATGGAATGCAAAACATCTCATTAACCATTTTTATATTAACTATATGTTGAAATAATATTTTGGGTATATTAGGTTAAATACACTACTAAAAATAATTTTCGGCTGGGCACAGTGGCTGATGCCTATAATTCCAGCACTTTGGGAGGCCAAGGTGAGCAGACCACGAGGTCAGGAGTTCGAGACCATCCTGGCCAACATGGTGAAACCCCATCTCTACTAAAAATACAAAAATTACCTGGGCGTGGTGGCATGTGCCTGTAATCCCAGCTACTCGGGAGGCTGGAGAATCAGCAAATTTTACCTGTTTTTTACTTCTTTAATGTGATACTAGAAAATTTAAAATTATACATGCAGCTCAACATTTTATGAGACACCACTGCAGCAGACTAAATAAATGATTTATAAAGCATGTATTGGGCCGGGCACGGTGGCTCACGCCTGTAATCCCAGCACTTTGGGAGGCTGAGGTGGGTGGATCACGAGGTTGGGAGTTCAAGACCAGCCTGGCCAACATAATGAAACTCCATCTCTACTAAAAATACAAAATTAGCTGGGCGTGCTGGTACATGCCTGTAATCCCAGCTACTCGGGAGGCTGAGGCAGGAGAATTGCTTGAACCCGGAAGGCGGAGGTTGTGGTGAGCCGAGATCATGCCATTGTACTCCAGCCTGGGCAACAAGAGTGAACTCCGTCTCAAAAAAAAAAAAAAAGAAAAGAAAAAAAAATTATACCCCAATAATGGGAACCACTACTTTACACACTATGGATTCATAATAAAATTTATTTGAGGGAGAATGGAGATAAGAGGATAAATAAGAGGCCAGCCAGTGGGTGTGCAAAGCACTTCATATTGGCTCTTGGAAAGTCGCTTTGTGAAAAATGTTCAACTGTAAGTGAAAGGAGAGGAGAAAAGACGTTTACCTCCTGGAGTGGGGTTTTGCATTGGATATGATAGGCCTAAAAAGTGAGTCCTGAGGATTCATATACCGGGGGTGGGGGGTGGGGGTCTTTTAGGAATGAAAGGCAGGGGAGATGGCTCTCTGTAGGAGTGATTCTATGCAATTGCAATTTTAATTGCAAAAACCACAATTACTTTTGTGCGAACCTAATAGTAACAGTTTCCAAAAGAGAGAAGATAAAGAGAATAAAATGCCTAGCTTACAGAACCATATTTGGTCTGAGGATGCATAATTAAGGATTCTTAATTATATATATATATATAATTTACATATATTACATACAAAATATGATAATCTTTTACTAGCTCATATAAACTATCGATCTGCAGTAACTGAAGAATAACAATATTTTTTCTCTAATTCATCAGGTATAATTTGCCATAATTTAAAAGAGAAATATGGAAGAATTATCACCAATCCAGACATAGAAGTACTCAAGAGTAACAGTACACCTAAAATGGTTTCTGCTAGCCTTTATTTGAGAAAATTTACACAAAAATCCCCAATCCAACATTTACAAGTGAATCTGTATAAATCCCATATGCCTCTTTCCCAAACAAACCAAGAAATGGCTTTATGACAGGGGTCCATGACAATGGTATAACAAGGCTTACTTAAACTGCATCATTCTCATTTATATTATACAGACCATTTTGGATAATATGCTCAAAAATGGAGGAAAGCACATAACACCCGATTTTAAAGCTTATTTGCTCTTGTGTCAGTCTTTTGTCAAAGGCAAATACATTTACTTTTTAGATAAAACCAAAGTATAATATCAATTAACTTTTAAACCAAAAGCACAAAATGTCCCAGTTGATAGTTTCGGCATGAGTAAAGGGAAGGGACATGAAAGAATGTCAACTCCTACAAAGCTTAAGTTTAGGGTCACACTTGGGAACAAAAGCATCAACGAAATAAAATATTCTCTTCTCCTATCTTCTTGACATTTTGTCACATCACAAGAACATAACTAAGAGAGTAGCTTTCGTTGCTCCTAAAAAGGGGAAAGGCACCAGTCAGAAATAGGAAAGAAAATCTTGTTAGGCTAACGGTACATGATAGAAATTTCACATTTAAAAGTTTAAAGATGGAGGCTGGGTGTGGTGGCTCACGCGTGTAATCCCAGCACTTTGGGAGGCTGAGGCAGGCAGATCACTTGAGGTCAGGAGTTCGAGACCAACCTGGCCAATATGGTGAAACTCTGCTTCTACTGAAAATACAAAAATTAGCCAGGCATGGTGGTGTGCACCTATATTCCCAGCTACTCAGGAGGCTGAGGCAGGAGAATTGCTTGAACCCAGGAGGTGAAGGTTGCAGCGAGCTGAGATAGTGCCATTGCACTCCAGCCTGGGCGTTGCAGCAAGACTCCGTCCCCCCCCCCCCAAAAAAAAAAAAGTTTAAGGATGTATCTTAACCCACATATTATTTTCTCTACTTGGATGCATCCTCTGTAACTTAGTATATGTAATACTACAGATAGACTTTCTCAACATTTGCTGCCTATGCTAAGGATCTGCAGCCAGGTTCTCAGAAGCAGTACCTACCAATTCTCAACAGCAGATGGCAATGTTGTACAAGTTAACGACAGAACTACTTTTATGCCACAGGAGAGGAAGACACAAGGAGTCAAAAGGGGGAAAAAAAAAGTTTGGGTTCATAGTAGCAGGAACATTAACAGAATAGCCTGAGATTTTAACAGCATAACTCATTCCCTCTTCCACCTTTGTACTTTATCCAGGTCAACACATCAGGGTTCTCTAACGATTCCAGTATTCTGTTTCTTTACTGTAAGATACATGTAATTCTTGCCACTGTGATTAAACAAGCCCTGTAATAGTCAGCAGGGTTAAAAAGAGATTACGGAAAGGATAAACTCCTACCTACTTTCTTGGGAGATGTGGGAAAGATTTCAAGTCACAGCATTTTTCATAACTGTTTATAAACAATGGTCATTTATATCCACACTTTCTCTTATTTACATTAGTTTTGGCCCTTAGGCAACTCATACTCCTACAGTGATTATTGGCTTTGCTTTCATAACATGTATTTTTAAGTATTTACTCTCTTAATGGCCCTCGATGTCTATTTTATACATCATATCTCTTAATTCTCTAGATGGAACACTGAAGGACAGGAATTAAGTAAGTGACTGGCCATGCAAGGGTTGGAAATTTTACTTATTTTTCCTTGGTAGAAGTTATGTTAAAAATTCAAGCAACCACATATCTAACAGAGGAATTTTATCTAGGATATATAAAAAACCTCTCAAAACTCAATAGTAAAAAGAACAAATGACCTAAATAGAAAATAGACAAAAGACATGAAGACATTTCACCGAAGAGGATACATAGATGGCAAATTAGCACACAAAAAGATACTCAACATCATTAGCCATTGGAAATGCAAATTAAAACCACATGTGGTATCATTACACACATCTATGTGAATGGTTAAGATAAAAAATAGTAGTAATACCAAATGCTGGTGAGGATGTGAAGAAACTGGATCAATCATACATTGCTGTCTGAATTGTATGAGTGGCTGTATGTAAAAAGTAGAGCCACTCTGGAAAAAGAGTAGGGTAGTTTCTTACAAAAATATATGTGTTTACCATACAACCCAACAGTTGCCCTTTTGAGCATTTATCCCAGAAAATGAAAATGTATGTTCACATAAAAACCTGTACATGAATGTTCACAGCAGCTTTATTAGGGCAAAAAACTGAAAACAACTCTTATGTCCTTTAGTGGGTGAATGGTTAAGCAAACTGTGGTACATCCATACCATGGAATACTACTCAGCAATCAAAAGGAACTGCCCCCACTTCACCACGATGCAATATATGCATGTAAGAAATCTGTACTTATACCCCCTAAATATATAAAACATTTTTAAAAGAAAAAAAGGAAGAAACTATTCATACATGCAACAACTTGGATGGATTTCAAGGGAATTATGCTGAATGAAAAAAGATCAGCCTCGTAAGATTACATTCTGTATGATTCCATTCATACAACATTCTTGAAATGACAAAATTACAGAGATGGAGGACAGAACAGTGGTAGCCACAGGTTGGGGTGAGGGTATAAGAAAGGGATGTGGCTGCGGCTGTAAAAGGGCAGTGCAAGGGATCCATGTGACAGAACTGTTCTGTCTCTTGTGATGGTGGTCACATGAATCTACACATGTGATAATATTGCATAGAATTAAATACACATACACGAAAAAAGTTCAAGCAGTTGAGCACAAATATTTTAATTGTCTAAAATGACATTTTCTTTAAGAGTTATCTACAGTTCAAAGCTCACTTTTATGAGGTGTCACATCCATCACCATTTTAAGAGATATAAAATCATGAAAAGATATCACCAGAAGCTATGTAAACATTTCAGCTAAGGGTAAAGAGAAAGTTAAGGGTGTTTTCACAAGGAAATTGAAAGAGGGCAATCCAAATGAAGTCAACATGGTCACACAAAAATCTTGGTAAAAGAACTAGAATGGAAGCCCAAGCTGCTGAGCAAGTGGGAGAAGAAAAGAAAACATAGTCCAAACAGATCACACAAGGGAACCCAGGACAAATGCTGACTTTGGCATTATCTAGGTAACCCCTATTTTTTGTCATAGGTGACTCTAATAATAGACCTATTGTTGCAAAACCAGTCAAAATCCTACCAAATTAAAAAGAAGTCCCTCATTGACTTGTTGGGTGTAGGTGGTACCCCATGTCCTCCCACACCAAAAGAGATCAGTTCTGGCAAGAAAGCTCCAACGTGCCTTGATGGTGCTGTTGGTAGGATGCCTTAGGCCAGGCACGTCCCAGCGATGTTCTGCTGGCTGAGGTACAAGGTGGGAGGAGAATATGCCTCATTCATTACTCAATCAATTTCTTGGCCTTGAAGAAGCGTCGCAGGTAGAAGACCTGCCAGGTAGCTAGTCCAATGAGACAGAACATTGAAAAGATGCTGAAGTATAGGACCCGAGTGTTTGTTGACTCTAAAAAAAAACAAAAGCATTGTAAACATAATGAAGTGAGCCTCCTCAGCTGGCTAAACAATGGCAGGGGAGGTGGGTAAAGGCAATTAATTAACTTCACTCTGTCCCTAGGTCTAACAGTAGGATTTCAGATAATTTTTCTTTTTAAGTTCATTATCCTGGCTGGGCATGGTGTAATCCCAGCCTGTAATCCCAGCACTCTGGGAGGCTGAGGCAGGCAGATCATGAAGTCAGGAGATCGAGACCATCCTGGCTAACTCTGTCTCTATTAAAAATACGAAAAATTAGCCAGGCATGGTGGCTTGTGCCTATAGTCCCAGCTACTTGGGAGGCTGAGGCAGGAGAATTGCTTGAACCCAGGAGGCGGAGGTTGCAGTGAGCCGAGATCGCACCACCGTACTCCAGCCTGAGCGACAGAGCGAGACTCCATCTCAAAAATAAGTAAATAAATAAAAATAAAAGTTCATTATCCTATATATAAATGTTGAAAATTACAAAGATTGGTGCTATCAGTTTGATGTGGGTATAGACTAATTGAGGATGTTGTCACCTGCCTATCACAGTAGGAGTTTCTACTCTCTTGAAAATCTAACAAGGCTCATTTACCTTTAGCAGCAACAACAGCGAAGCAAGCAATTTCCCCTCCATATACCCACCTTGGCAAAACTGAGAAAAGGGTACACCAGAATTGAAAGTTTGGAGACTGTCTCATTTATGGGTCACTTAAGAAGTAAGAGTCGCCTTCCCCCTCACCGTTGGTATCACGCATCTCCTCTTCTCTCTTCTTCATGTAGGCAAAATCATTAACAATAGATTCTGAAAGGTCTTCTAGGCGTCGCAGCTCTACCTCTAATGGTTTGAGCTTCTCAACTTTTGCAATCTGGAAAAGAATGGAATATTTTCAGCTCTCTGAAAACATCGCTTCAGTCAAGAACATAAAGAAGGCAACAGAGAAGTCTTTTTTAAAGTTTCACCAGATTTAAATTCTCTCCTATCAATCATCCTAACATATTTTAAAATTTGGGCTTCTTTCTTTCCCTATAGACTATATCTTTCCATTTCAGACCTTTTTTGATACTTTAATTTTGACTAAAATCTTAGAAGTAATATAATAACCGTAGGCTATAAAGTAAGATATACTATTGTCTCAAGATTTTTTACTTTTTTTTTGAGACAGGGTTTTACTCTGTTGCCCAGGCTGGAGTGCAGTGGCACAGTCTTGGCTCACTGCAGGCTCGACCTCCTGGGCTCAGGCAATCCTCTTGCCTCAGCATCCCAAGTAGCTGGGACCACAGTCATGCACTGCCACACCCAGCTAATTTTTATACTTTTTCTAGAGATGGGGTTTTGCCATGTTGCCCAGGCTGGTCTCGAACTCCTAAGCTCAAGCAATCTGTCCGCCTTGGCCTCCCAAAGTGTTGGGACTACAAGTGTGAGCCACCATGCCCAGCTGATTTTTGACTTTAGTAAAGCACTTTACTTTGCACTTCCACTCATGTCTAAGAAGTAAACTATTGTTAATACAATAAATGTGGGAGTCATATTAAGTCAAACCTGGTTTTAGAAGAAAAACCACTAAATTCATTAAACCTTTGACAGTACATAGGAATGTGAGCATGTGTTGTTATAGCATTAAAGTAATAATTCAAAATACACAATTAGAGAATTCTGGTTCATATAAATCCTACAACAACTTTAAGGTTTAATATCAGAGCTCAGATGTGAGAAAACTGCACTGAATTTTTTATGTATTTTTTTCTTTTAGAATGACACAGCCAGTTATCAAAAGAAATCTTCAAGGAATTCCCTGTATGCTGAGGAATGAAGGATGTGAGAAAGAAATTAACTGTCTTCTGCTCTCAAGTTAGACCCCTAAGAAAACTCTTAAGAGTATCTAATAACTAGAGGCATCTGTCACACCAGCAAAGATGTCATTATTGTTTTTTTCTTATCAGTCTTAGATTATGCTTTGCTTTAAAATGAGATACACCACCAGAGCTTTCCAGATCTTTTTTTTTTTTTTTGGAGATGGAGTCTCACTCTTGCCAGGCTAGAGTGCAGTGGTGTGGTTTTGGCTCACTGCAACCTCTGCCTCCTGGGTTCAAGTGATTCTCCTGCCTCAGCCTCCTAAGTAGCTGGGACTACAGGCGTGCGCCACCACACCCAGCTAATTTTTTGTATTTTTAGTCGAGATGGGGTTTCACCATGTTGGTCAGGATGGTCTCGATCTCTTGACCTCGTGATCCACCTGCCTCGGCCTCCCAAAGTGCTGAGATTACAGGCGTGATCCACCATGCCCGGCCAGCTTTCCAGATCTTAAAACTTTTACATACCAGTTGCTCTTAAAGTTTCCACATAGAGAATTCTTTAATAATTCTGTTTCTGGCCGGGTGTGGTGGCTCACACCTGTAATCCCAGCACTTTGGGAGGCCGAGGTGGGTGGAACACGAGGTCAGGAGATCGAGACCATCCTGGCTAACACGGTGAAACCCCGTCTCTACTAAAAATAAAAAAAAAAAATAGCTGGGCGTGGTGGCGGGCGCCTGTAGTCCCAGCTACTCGGGAGGCTGCGGCAGGAGAATGGCGTGAACCCAGGAGGCGGAGCTTGCAGTGAGTTGAGATTGTGCCACTGCACTCCAGGATGGGTGACAGAGCGAGACTCCATCTCAAAAAAAAAAAAAAAAATTCTGTTTCTTTCTTTCTTTTTTTTTTTTTTTTAAGGATGGAGTCTCACTCTGTTGCCCAGGCTGGAGTACAGTGGTATGATCTTGGCTCACTGCAACCTCTGCCTCCCAGGTTCAAAAAAATCCTCCCACCTCAGCCTCCTGAGTAGCTGGGATTACAGGTGTGTGCCACCCCACCCAGCTAATTTTTATATGTTCAGTAGAGATGAGATTTCACCACGTTGGCCAGGCTGGTCTTGAACTCCTAACCTCAGGTGATCCATCCACCTCGACCTCCCAAAGTGCTGGGATTACAGGCGTGAGCCACTGCACCTGGCCTTAATAATTCTGTTTATATATCTGCTTCTTTACTCCCTATTTACTGTACATTCCCTATGGCCCACTTTTTTTTCTCTCCTTTGTTCAATTCATTGTCCTTGTCCTTTTCTTTGTGAAATGTTAACAGCAGTTAACAAGGGATGAATAGGAGGCATTTATTTTATGTTTTCTTATTATATTCTTCACTAAATGTGTGATGAACAAAAGTTATTTAAAATAAAACAAACTGCTGTTAAAATTGGGATGTAAAAATTGAGTTTATATTTAAGGTCCATAAAAATATGGTGATAGACTTGCGATGATACACCTACAGTTTTCTCTCACCAGAAGCACATTTTCTTGCGTTTGTAAAATGTTGGCTAGAGTTAACGGTGTGACTGGTAACTGCAGAACAGCTTCTGGGTGTAAGATTTAACCAATAGTTAATGCACAGAGCTAACTTTCCTAAGTGAATGGCCAAATGCCAGGTTTTGTCATTAACCCAGAATATATATCTGTTCATTGATCTCATATAGAGCTGCAGAACAAAAAAAAATTCCTCAAGAAAAATACAGGAGCTATACAAGCTGAACCTTAGTCTAACATCTTCCCTCCTGCTCTATACTTCCCCACTCAGAGCTTCCTAAATGAGACAGTATAAAGGAAATGGCATGATACTTCTTAGAGATAAATTATTTAAAGTTCCCTAAATAGAAACTTGCAAAAGAAACTGGAAGTGAAACTATGGCTGTGCCTCTGCCAGCTGAAAATGATATTAAAAAAAAAATTACTTTAAAGCCTACTGAATCCCACAGCCTTTGCTTCTTTTTTTTTTTTTTTTTTTTATTTTTGTTGTTGTTGTTGTTAAAGGACAATAGTCCAGAGACCTAAAACCCGAAAAACAATGATGGAATTAAACCTGGTACTGAAGATGGCTTTTGTAGATTACAGCCCCCCACAAGCTGTTCCCAATCCCTTTCCAGTAATAAAACTTATTTTTTAGTTGTACAACCAACACATAAATATATTCTTTGGCTAAAAATTTAAACTATCCAGAAGCAAAGAGAATATAAACCAAAAGTCTACCTTCATGGTTCCTCAATTCCCACATTGCTTTCCAGAGGTAAAGATGCTTATAAACTTGATGTATTATCTTTCCACACCTTTTCTTCTGAGACACTATGCTTTTGTATGTAAATGTACACAGAAAAATATAACTTAAAATCTATTTATAAATGGCATACTACACACATTGTTCTATAGCTTTTTTCCATTTAGTAAGATCTTTCCAAAAATGTCAGTGCTTATCAATTCATCTTATTCTTAACTGCTGCACAGCATTCCACACAGCTAGTATTCCACATTGTTTAGTTAATCATTCAATTCCCAACCCCTTTTCTAGTACAGGTGCTACTTCAGACTCTACACCTCTATTCATAACCAAACAGTCAAATTCCTATCTTCAAAGTTGATTTTATTTCCTCAACAAAATCTCTGCTGAGGCCAAGCGTGGTGGCTCACACCTGTTATCCCAATACTTCGAGAGGCTGAGGCAGGAGGATCACTTGAGCCTGGGAGGTCAAGGCTGCAGTGAGCCAAGATCATGCCACTATACTCCATCCTGGGAGACAAACTGAGACTCCGACTCAAAAAAAAAAAAAAAAAATCTATTGAATCCCATCTTTCATCCAGAAAATTATTTTCAGACCTTCATTAGTGGGATGAAGGTCTCATTTTGGTCTCATTTCCTAGAAGCCATTTTTGCCTAATAAGTACCTTCACTCATGATACTAATTTAAAATCTAGAAATCTTAAAGAAATCTCAAGAGACTAAAACAGTACTGAAATCTAGCTTGCCATTCCAAACACCTAGTACACCATGGATACTCAATAGTAAAAAACAACAATCATGGATATATTTCTATGTTGAATCTAAACCTAGAAATCCAAATAATATTTGGAGGAAATCAAAGAACAAAGATCTTTTCAAACCACCAAAATCTGACGGACTTAACAATTAAATGCTATTAAGGAAAGTAATTCCGCCTTCCTCCATGTGAGAACACAGTGAGGAGGCAGTATGCATTCAGAAGAGGACCCTCACCAGAACCTGACCACACTGGCACCCTGATCTTGAACTTCCTAGACTCCAGAACTATGAGAAATAAATTTCTGTTGTTTATTCTTTTTGAGATGGACTCTTGCTCTGTCACCCAGATTCTCCTGCCTCAGCCTCCCAAGTAGCTGGGATTACAGGCACGTGCCACCACGCCCAGCTAATTTTTGTATTTTTAGTAGAGACAGGGTTTCACCATGTTGGTCAGGCTGGTCTCGAACTTGTGACCTCATGATCCGCCCTCCTCGGCCTCCCAAAGTGCTGGGATTACAGGCGTGAGCCACTGGGCCTGGCCTGTTTATTTTTACAAAAGAAAAAAATTAGCCAGGTGTGGTGGCTCACGCCTGTAATCTCAGCACTTTGGGAGGCTGAAGCGGATGGATCACTTGAGACCAGGAGTTTGAGACCAGCCTGGCCAACATGGTGAAACCCAGTCTTTATTAAAATTACAAAAATTAGCTGGGCATGGTGGCGCATGCCTGTAGTCCCAGCTACTCAGGAGGCTGAGGCACGAGAATCCTTTGAACCTGGGAGGCAGAGGTTGCAGTGAGCTGAGATGGCACCGCTGCACTCCAGCCTGGGCTGGGTGGACTCTGTCTCAAAAAAATAAATAAATGAAGAAGTAGTAGTAGTAGTCAGTGGTTTAAAACAAAAAACAAAAAACCTTCACTGCAGGCAGGGCACAGTGGCTCATGCCAGTAATACCAGCACTTTGGGAAGCCAAGGCAGGTGGATTGCTGGAGACCAGGCTGGGCAACACAGCAAGACCCCATCTCTATTACAAAGTAGTAATAATAATAAAGAAAAAAAAACTTTATTGCAAGAATATATAACAATAGACTTTTATTACCAGCTTAAAACAAATATAAAAAAGTTTCTTGATTTTTTTTAAACATTTTAAGGCCTTAACGTTTTTTTCTGAGTTCTTATTATGTGCAAGGTACCAAGGTAAGTTATGATCTTAAGCTCTCACAGCTTATATAGTAAGTTATAACCATAATATATGGCTTTATGTAGTAACTTCTATAACAAAAAATACACATTAAAAACAGTTCTAGTTGGGAGGACAAAGTGAAGCTTAACAGGAAGTGGGTGAGCTGGGTCTCACAAGTTGGGCAGGACTTTTGAGAGGGCATTCAAGGCTGAGGGGAACCTGTAAACCAAAACACGGAGGGAGTAAAGTGCAGGCATGTTTAGCAACTACGAATAGTCTAGACATAAGTAGTCTGGTGTGCTAGAAACTAGACTATAGGGTATGTGTGCATGTACACACATAACTGCCACACACTTGTGCTTGGGGAGGGTAGGGGATAATAGCAAATAAAAGGCTCAAAAGTTAGGCTGAGACTAAATTAGGGAAGGGGATGAAAAAGGTAGTATAATGAATCAGAGCCATTCATATATGCTCACAATGTAGTATATTTTGTAATCTCATTTAATCCTCGTAACCCTATAAGGTGAATATTTTTATCCTTAAGTTTTGCAGATGAGGAAACTAAGGCTCTGAGGTATTAAATAATTTGCCCAAAGTATCACAGCTTGGTGCAGTTGGCATTAGAATCCAAGTCTATGTGAGTTTATTCTGTAAGTACTAGAAATTTAATAAAGAAAACCAGATGAGTATACTAAGTTTTTCCTGAATCAAAGGTGAAATGAACAAGCTATATTAGGCCACAAGGATCTATATAAGTTGTCCTGTTTGCTTGACTAATAAAGTTTGACTAATAAACTTCCTGGGTTTCCCATTGCTATTATTTTTGCAGGGCAACAGAGTAAAATTTTAAAACAAATCATGGTAAGTATTCTCAAGAAGACGCTCTTTACTTGCTCTGGACTAAGCATTCAATACATAGCATTGAGGCTTTATATCACAGTACAAAAAGCTAAAAAATCCTCAATATCAAAATTCCCACTTTCTGTTGTTCTGCTCTTGTAAGCAGTTGATTGAACTGTTCAGAGTATCTGTAAAAATGCCAAATTATACATGTTTCATGAAGGCAGGCTGGTATTCTATTCTACTCTCCTTCATCACTGGAAGCATGAGGTATGTTTTGCCAAGTCTGTAAGACAATGTGCACCACAGGTTCTCCAATAGGGGGTGATATCCCCCTGGCAAGCTGCATGTAGTTGTTAAATAATCAAAGGATGTTATAGTTACAAGGTGCTTCATTTTGCAGTGAGTCCCTCATTTTTCAAATGAGGAAACTAAAGATTCCATAAAGTTACTCAGCCCTTTGGGTGTCCAACCAAAATTAACAGTACCATGGTCTCTTAACTCCCTACCCAGGGTGATCACAGCATTTAAACTGCCAAACTCTGCTGTAAAATTCGAGAACAGAATCCCTGACTTCCAAAAGCATTTATGCTCTCTGTACCCAAATCTGACCTATCTTTCAAGCCTCCTTGAAAGCCTCCTTCAACCACTCTTGTCCACACTGTCTTCCCTGAAGCCCTACAACACATACTGTGTCACACAGTTAACACTCAATCATATATTGTCATATTCACAAATTGTTTTATTTTTATCCTGTCCCTCCACACTAGTTTGGCTCCTGAACTCAAGGAAATTAAAATGATTTATAGTTTATATAGTCGTAAAGACCTGAGACTTGGTAAACACTTGTAATTGACCTGTTCTGCCCACTCTATGCCTTCTTCAAAGAAGCCAACTTTCTCAAAGTAGCTAAGTGCTGCTGGTCCCCTGAAGCAAGTGTTTCTTGTATACTAAAAGCACTCTGCATTGATTTTTTTTCTTTCTTTTTTTTATTTTTTTGAGATAGAGTTTTGCTTTGTCACCCATGCTGGAGTGCAGTGGCACGATCTTGGCTCACTGCAACCTCTGCCTCCCAGGTTCAAATGATTCTCCTGCCTCAGCTTCCCGAGTAGCTGGGATTACAGGCGCCTGCCACCACACCCAGCTAATTTTTGTATTTTTAGTAGAGACAGGGTTTCACCATGTTGGCCAAGTTGGTCTTGAACTCCTGACCTCAGGTGATCCACCTGCCTCAGCCTTCCAAAGTGCTGGGATTACAGGTGTGAGCCACCGCGCCCAGCCTGCATCTATTTTCATGAGGCCCGCCGCCTAGGAGAAAGCCTTCTCTACCACCATATCTATTAACATCATTCTTACTGGTCATGGTAGGTACTGTTTGGAAAAGCTACAAGTTACAAAGCCTTTTTCTGTATAACACCTCCAAAATACCAGTAAAATTAAACTCTTCTAAAACCATATCCAAATCTTCCATTATAATGAAGATTTGAATCTAAAGAGTTCACAGAGTTATATGTAACTGTACCAAGAAAAGGTATTAATTCTCTGAAAAAACTGCTTCTTAAAACAGAGGTGTTAATCTAACCTCTAGGGAATCTCTAAATTCTTTTCCTTGGTGGAGCATCAAGATCCAAGAGAGAAGCTTCTTGTGACAAGACAAATTCAGTCAAAGTAGTTTGCTGCCTCCATGCCTCCCACCACAGCCCCCACCAACTCCAGGAGCACAGCAATAAATGTGAAGACCATCTAGTCTAACACAAGCAAGATAAACATAACAGAGCTGGCACAGTGGCTCATGCCTGTAATCCCAGCACTTTGGGAGGCCGAGGTGGCCAGATCACTTGAGGTCAGGAGTTGGAGACCAGCCTGGCCTACATGGTGAAACCCTGTCTCTACTAAAAATACAAAAATTAGCTGGGTGTGGTGGTGCACACTTGTAATCCCAGCTACTCGGGAGGCTGAGGCAGAATAATTGTTTGAACCCGGGAGGCAGAGGTTGCAGTGAGCTAAGATCACGCCACTGCACTACAGCCTGAATAACTGAGTGATACTCTGTCTCAAAAAAAAAAAAAAAAAGGACTTTGGATCTAGTACATGGAATCAGAGTTCCTCCTTCCTGAGAGCACTCAGAGAAACAGAACTTTTGGAAAGTCTTCAGCTGTTGCTCCAACCAGGGCAGCTGTGTTTTTGGAATATAGATTGATAGCAAATGACAGACAAATAGAATCGCCTAGGCAAAGCGGTATTTTACTCGTGGGACACACAGCCCAGGAGTTAGAAGATGTGTCAGATAGCTCCTTCTTTGTCGGACAGTAATTGCCTGCATTCTCCCAACTGCACAGACAGTAAGTCCCTACAAACAACTGCTCTAGTTCACAGATGACAAACTAAAAAGAAGTGGCTCGGTTCACATCCTGAATCTACAAAGATACACCCTCTGAAGGGCAGAAGTGAGACAGTGGTCAGAGGTTCATAAAATAAAATGCAAGAAATCAAAATCAAAAGTGCTTTATTTCCGAGGACAAAGGCATTCTTTCTCTTTAAAGAATTCAAACAACAAGACTTAATGCTTCTTCACAGTATGACAAGCATTCTGTCTTCCAAATAATATCATCTTACATTTGTATTGTGTTACATAGCAATTTCACATGGATTAATTAATAACAATTTAGGTAGGTAGTGTGGTACAATTACTATTCAATCTTACAGGACCACATGGGATTTCAGAATTATGAGTCCACAGATATGAGGGAGAGATGTGTTGGACATGAAAATTAAAGAAGTATGCCACATTCCCGAATCTTAATGCTGATGCCAAAGATTCCAAATCCTCTGGAGATAAAGCCTCTCCATTATCTCAAGGGCCTGAAATTAAATCGTTCAAGTGATTCTCTTGCTTCAGCCTCCCGAGTAGTTGGGACTACAGGTACCCGCCACCATGCCCGGCTAATTTTTGTATTTTTAGTAGAGATGGGGTTTTCGCCAGGTTGGCCAGGCTGGTCTCCAACTCCTGACCTTGGGTGATCCACCCACCTTGGCCTCCCAAAGTGCTGGGATTACAGGTGTGAGCCACCGTGCCCTGCCAGCTAACAGCCATTTCTAAGCAAGGTTCAAGGCAGCCTTGCTGCAGACTGAAGAAAGGGCTGGTCTTCGGACTGTGTCATAGCCATTCCTCCTCTACATCAATCTGGTCTGCTGCTGGGGAGCAGGGGTGAAGGGCAGGAGGGTGGGGATAGATGTTAAAGAAAGTAGTGGGGAGGAGTTTCTTGGTTAAGAAGCAGAACCTTGGAGCTGTGTTGTAACTACATGCGTAAAGGCAGGCTTAGGACATGTCAGACGTCTGAAGCAGGAAGCAGGCAAAGGAAGCACCGTGGTTTTCTTTGGGCTAGGGATTCCCCTCTTGGGTTAAGCAAAAGGTCAGGAAAGATAAAGCCCCTTTCCTAATGTCTATAAAGTCCAAGGATGATGGAAATTCCAGGAGGTATAGGGGTTCTAAAATGCTATACGACAGCTGTGTCCAAAGCATTCTTTATATAAACCCACAATAATGTCATCTGTTTTTGAGGGGAACTAGCTATGTCTACTGTCTAATAGGGCATTGATGTGTTGTTATTTAATAAATACCCTTGGGCTGGGCGCGGTGCCTCACGCATGTAATCCGCCAGCACTTTGGGAGGCCAAGACAGGCAGATCACGAGGTCAGGAGATCGAGACCATCCTGGCTAACATGGTGAAACCCCGTCTCTACTAAAAATACAAAAAATTAGCTGGGCGTGGTGATGGGTGCCTGTAGTCCCAGCTACTCGGGAGGCTGAGGCAGGAGAATGGCGTGAACCCGGGAGGCGGAGCTTGCAGTGAGCAGAGATCCCGCCACTGCACTCCAGCCTGGGCAACCAAGCGAGACTCCATCTCAATAAATAAATAAATAAATACCCTTAATGACAGGCATCATGTTGGAGAAAAAGATTACAATAGGTAAAATT
Organism: Homo sapiens; assembly: GCF_000001405.40. NCBI lineage: Eukaryota > Metazoa > Chordata > Mammalia > Primates > Hominidae > Homo > Homo sapiens. The sequence continues at coordinate 75,145,858 of NC_000014.9, forward strand.
CCACAGAGTACAAATTCAACTGAGAATGGTCCACAGTTCGGGAACAGAAGCAGTAACCACAAACTGGAAATCATTTTACCTATTCTTCTACCTTATAATAATGAGAACATTCTCCCTAGTGTTTTATATCTTATAAAAGCACTTTAACATAATCTTATTTAAATATAATTAAGATTCTTCTGAATCATGAAGGTTTAAAAAAATTTTTCAATTTACTCAAGTTCATCAAATAAAGAGGTCTTCTTGTTTTATTTATTTAAATTAAACTAGCCTGGAAACAGAAACAAACAATTGAAAATTCTCTACCGGAAACTGTCTCCCATTCACAACTGTATCACTTGCTCCTATTTACTGCCTCTAAATAACGCTACCTAGTTTCATTCAATTGAGGATTTGAACAAGGAAAGAGCTGCAACTGTTGTACTACTTCCTGTTGCAGAATTAACCAGTCATTTCCAATCTTCTTCCATTTTAGGATATTTCCCTTCCAAAGTGCTGTCCAAAGAGAGAGCAACTTCTGTTCCACTATTCCTAGACAATTTTCCTAAATCACTTAAACCAATTTTCCTTCATTTACTTAGTTTGCATTCTTCAAAAGCCCATTCTATTTCCTGTACCCCACTCCTCCTTCATGCCCTTACGTACTGTTTTGTTGGGTAAAAATACTCTTATCTTTCTGTAAAGATCAATTATCTAGTCTTAAATAGTTCTTGTGGTTTTTCAAAGGTGCCCTTCATTTGAAGAACCCTTTTGTGCTGCCCCCAAGTCTCGCAGAGATGAAAAAGGCTGTTGTCCTTCTCCTCATTCTGTGTACACCTCCATCTCCCTGTCACCCAAATAAGTGTCAGTTTTTATTAGTCTATAATAAATAACTTCTTATCAGCATCAAATTTCTATTATCACCATTCCTAGTCTCTTGCAGCTTTTTCCTCCATCCTGCCCTCTTCCTTGAAAGTTTGAAATTATTTTAACTAAAAACTATCTTTGACTATTGTTATTTCCCAAACACAAAACAGTTGTTCAAGACTAAACAGCACTGAATCCATGCCCCAGATAGATAGATAGATAGATAGATAGATAGATAGATATACAACTGTTGGTCTTGGGGAAAAAGTCTTAGGAATTAAAAACAAATCACTTTTCTTAACCTTGGGCATTAACAAATAACTGAATTCCAGCTTTAAAAAATTTAAAATATCTCTCTCTACACACACACAGTTCAAGAGAACTAATGCCATATGCTTCAGTGTTTTATCAAACCAACATTCTGTGGGACAGTTTGTTCAGTCTTTGGCTGACAGCACAGCCAGAATTATTCTTCAAGGCTGTTTTTTTTTTTTTTTTTTTTTGAGATGGAGCCTTGCCCTGTCGCCCAGGCTGGAGTGCAGTGGCACGATCTCGGCTCACTGCAGCCTCTGCCCCCCAGGTTCCAGCAATTCTCCTGCCTCAGCCTCCCGAGTAGACTAGCTGGGATTACAGGCGCACGCCACCACTCCTGGCTAATTTTTGTATTTTTAGTAGAAACTTGGTGTCACCATGTTGACCAGGCTGGTATCGAACTCCTGACCTCAGGCGATCCACCCGCCTTGGCCTCCCAAAGTGCTGGGATTACAGGAGTGAGCCACCGCGCCCGGCTAAGGCTGTTAATACCACTTTTTGTATCAGTAAGATCATGGCTGGCTGTCACAAGACTGCTAAGAAACCACAGCCCTTTGGGCAAAGCACAGCCTGTTGGCCTGCCGAGGTCACAGAAACCTCACAGCATAGCACACTGCTGCCTCCTCTGGCTGTTAGAGCAGGACATACCTCTTCGTAATTTTTCGCCTCCACTCCATGCTTCATGTCTAGGATCACGAGTTGGTCAGGTATCCGCCCTGTTCCTGAGAAAGAAATCAAAGGAATCATTGTGTGAAATACTTAAAATTCTGGGAAATTACCCACCCACCCGCCCGCCCTCCCTCTACAGAACCCCTACCCTCTCAATAGAGGGAAACAGCCACAACTCCTCCCCCTGCTCAGTTGCAGAAAATTCCTGGCTCTGGCTAAAATCACAAACATTCCAGACAAAGCCTCTATCTGTGTGGGGTGCCGGAAAGCAACAAGAACATGCTGCTGGCAAACATCTCTGAGCAGGCAAGGACACAAGATACTGCAACTGGTACTACAGAGGAACAGAACAGAAGGGAAACCACACAGGCTTATTGAATTGGGAAATAAAACTCAAAAATCAAAACAGTGTGAAATTGAGTGGCATATAAATCAAGAGATAGTAGGCAACAACTTCGGCTGAAAATGTGTATTTCCACATCTGAAAAGGTTGCCCTGTCAAATTTTGAGGGAAGGCCATGATGAATTAGGATTATTGGATATGTGCTAAGCTTGGATTTACTTAATATAAATCTGAGTACTGAAAAGAACATAAGTTTTATCTAATATTCCACTTTAATTCAAACATTTTGATCAATGTATGGCCTAGTTCAGTAGGAGTACAATGTCATAGAGCTATTCCCACTAAGCCCTTAAAAGAGTTACAACAGCTCAAGGAAAAAAAAAAAACAACTTTAAGTGTTCAAATCTCAGGGATGCTTCTTATAATAGAGTTCATGTTAGAAGAGTCAATCTGATTCAGCTGGATCAAAGAAGCATTCTAATCTTAAATCATCAAGTAGGAGAAAGGAAAAGACCCAAGGAGCCCCAGAAAACTGTTCAGCCCCAATCCCCTGGAATTCACCTAGTTATAAAATTTACAACTGCCTGCATGAAATTAGAAGTTGTGGGAAACAGTGCCACTGAAGCACTGGGGTTCCTGAAACCATAAGCCACACTGAATGGTACTGTACCCTCTGATGCCTGAGAGACACTGGAAGTTTTCTGAAATGAACTGAAGTCAATTCAATAACTACTCATTGAAAACTCACTAAGTACTAAAACTGTGCTGGAGATTTTAAAGAGATATGCTACGGCTTCGATGTGCCCCTCTCAAAGTTCATGTGTTGGAAACTTAATCCCCAATGCAACAGTGTTGAGAGGTAAAACCTTTAATTTTATTTATTTAATTAAAAAAAATTTTTTGAGACAGGTTCTTACTCTTGTCTTCCAAGCTGGAGTGCAGTGGCACGCACCATCATGGCTCACTGTAGCCTCGAACTCCTGGGCTCAAGCAATCCTCCCACTTCAGTCTTTCAAGTAGCTGGGACTACAGGCGTGAGCCACCACACCCAGGTAATTTTTGTATTTTTTGTAGAGACAGGGTCTCGCTATACTGTCCAGGCTGATCTGGAACTCCTGGGCTCAAGCGATCCTCCTGCCTCAGCCTCCCAAAGTGCTGGGATTATAGGCATGAGCCACTGTGCCTGGCGGAGAAGTAGGACCTTTAAGAATTGACTAGGTCATGGGGCTCTGCCCTCATCAATAGATTTAATGTCATTATCATAGAAGTAGGTTTGTTATAAAAGTGAGTTCAGCCCCTTCTTGCTCTCCTGTGCATTCTCTTGCCATGTGATACCTTCTGCCATGTTATTGTGACACAGCAAAAAGGCCCTCACCAGATGTGGCCCCTTGATCTTGGACTTTCCAGACTCCAGAACCATGAACCAAACAAATTTCTACTGTTTATACCCACTCTGCGATGTTCTGTTATAGCAGCACAAAATGGACTAAGCCAGGATACAATCCCTGCCTTCAAATAATTCAATTGGGATCTAAGACATATACACAAAACAACTATGGTGAAAATGCAAAGCACTGTAAAAGTTTAAGCCAAAGGAACTGGTTCAGACAATTCCAATATGGAGCAAAGGGAAGAGGAGAGAAGATTGTAGTTGTGGACAGACTTCACTAAAAAGGGAACACCTAAAGGCAGGACTTAGGCAAAGTACTCTAGGCAGACGGCAAAGCATGAGCAAAGGCTCAGATATTAAAATCGGAGTATGGCATGCTTGAAAGACAGTAAAGAACTTCTTTTGGGATGGGCACGGTGGCTCATGCCTGTAATCCCAGCACTTTGGGAGGCCAAGGCAGGTGGATCTCTTGAGGTTCGAGTTCGAGACCAGCTTGGCCAACATGATGAAACCCGTCTCTACTAAAAATACACAAATTAGCCAGGCGCAGTGGTGCGTGCCTGTAGTTCCAGCTACTCCGGAGGCTGAGGCATGAGAATCACTTGAACCCGGTAAAGTTGCAGTGAGCCAAGATCGCACCACTGCACTCCAGCCTGGGTGACAGAGCAAGACTCTTGTTTCACACACACACAAAAAAAGGACTTCTTTTGGATAGACTGGAAAGATTAACTCGAAAGCAAGAGAAATATAAATAAGACTGCACAGGGTAAGACTGAGAACAAAGTAAGACAAGTCACATGTGTCTTCTGAGCATGAAAACAACAAGTCTTCAAACAAAACAAAACAAAATGTGGCACCCAGAGTGTTCTGTTCTCCCAAATCCAATGTGTAATCCTGATTACGACATTGTCCATGGAAGATGTACTTCCTCATTGAAAAAGTTGTGAAACTTAAGCAGTTCACAGCCCCACCTGGTCCAAATGATCAGGATATCTTCTTTCTTACAAGGTCTTCCAACTACCTCCCTGATTGTCACAGCACAGTACAGTCATGCACTACATGAAGACAGTTCAGTCGAGGACAGACTGCATATATGAAGGTGGTCCCATAAGATTATTATAATACTGTATTTTTACTATATCTTTTCTATGTTTAGATACACAAATAGCATTGTGTTCTAACTGCCTACAGTATTCAGTACAGTCACATGCTTTACAGCTTTGTAGCCTAGGAGCAGTAGTAGGCTATACCATATAGCCGAGGTGGGTAGTAGGCTATAACATCTAGGTTTGTGTAAGTACACTTAATATTTGCACAACGAAATCACCTAACCACCATTTCTCAGAATGGTCGAGTCCAGACTATACAGTCTCTTGCATAGAACTGTCAGCCTATCCTCTTAGCTGACATCATAGCCCTAAAGAGTCTCCTTTGTAAAAGGACCCTTCATAATTTTTCTCTCTGCATTTGCCTGGCAAACAGACAATCCTTTTTGTTTGTTTTGAGACAGAGTCTCGCTCTGTCACCCAGGCTGCAGTGCAGTGGTACGATCTTGGCTCACTGCAATCTCTGCCTCCTGGGTTCAAACAATTCTCCTGCCTCAGCCTCCCGAGTAGCTGGGATTACAGGCATGTGCCACCACCACATCTGGCTAATTTTTGTATTTTTAGTAGAGATGGGGTTTCGCCATGTTGGCCAGGCTGGTCTCAAACTCCTGGCCTCAGGTGATCCGCCCGCCTCGGCCTCCCAACTGCTGGGATTACAAGCGTGAGTCACTGCGCCCGGCCAGTTTTTTTTGTTGTTGTTGTTGTTTATTTTTTTGAGATGGAGTCTCACTCTGTCACCCAGGCTGGAGTGCAGTGACACAATCTTGCTCACTGCAACCTCCACCTCCTGGGTTTAAGTGATTCTCCTGCCTCAGCCTCCTGAGCAGCTAGGGTTACAGGCACGAGCCACCATGCCCAGCTAATTTTGTATTTTTAGTAGAGACAGGGTTTCACCATGTTGGCCAGGCTGGTCTCAAACTCCTAACCTTCAGTGATCTGCCTGCCTTGGCCTCCCAAAGTGCTGGGATTACAGGCATGAGCCACCATGCCCAGCCTTTTTTTTAAGACTTCACTTTGTTAGAGCAGTTTTAGGTTCACAACAAAACTGAGAGGAAGGCACAAAGATTTCCCATATCCCCCTTCCTCTTACATATGCATAGCCTCCCCCATTATCACCATTTCCCACCAGAGTGGTACATTCATTACAAATGATGAACCTACATGGACACATCACTATCTACCAAAGTCCACAGTTTACATTAGGATTCACTCTTGGTGTACATTCCAAATGTAATGTTCGGACAACCATATAATGACATGTATCCACTATTACAGTATCATACAGAATATTTTTACTGCCCTAAAAATTCTCTCTGTTCCACCTATTCAATCTTTTATTCCATGTAGTCGACCTTTTAAAAGGTGCTCCAAAGACTACAAGGTAACAGGTCTCCAAATCAGAATAAATAAAGAATACAAATGAAACTAGATATTAAGTGCTGACTGTATTAAGGAGCATTAGAGTTGGAGAAGATTCTTAATCCAGAGAAACACTCTTGATTACTCACCCTTGCTCTCAAAACACACTTCAAACATGTCATAATCTTCAGTGGTAAAGGCAAATTTCCCCTTGGTTGCATCCTCTTTGGAGTAGAGAATATGGCCAGCAGAATCTGTGATCTAAAATAAGAAAAGTAGTAAGAATAGGCAGCAAATAACACTCAGGAAGAGAACTTACAGAAACTGGGAAGATAGAGACACTATCTATGAAAGACAATTGATAGTTCTCATTATGATGACTATGTTCCAACCATCCCCAAAGACAAAAACTGGATTAGAAGATTAAATCCAAATACAGCAAATTTCATCCATTCAAATAGCCTAATCACACTGTGGGCTAAAATCTGTTGCTGCTATAGGATGTCTTACCATACCAAAAAGTTAATCTAGCTAATGCTCCAAGTTACATACATTGGATTTATTGGCAAAAACTCACTAGTATCATTCCGCATAGAGGAACATGTCACAAAAATGAAAGTAGACAATTATCAAAAGATTATACAAGAGGGACAAAGATATATAAAAACACATTTATTCTATAAAACAAATTTGATGGGGAAGGGGTGTGGGTGGAGAATAAAATTAGGACACACAATACAAGGACAGCAGGAAGAAAAGCATACATAGAGAAGACAATCCAGGAGATCTATTCCTGCAAATTTCATGTTAATTATGTCAACGGCCAGGTAGAGTGGGAACAAAACACAGGAAACAAAAAAGAAGTTTCTGGCCAGGCATGGTGGCTCACGCCTGTAATCCCAAACTTTGGAACGCCAAGGCAGGAGGATCACTTGAGCTCAAGAGTTCAAGACCTGGCTGGGCGCGGTGGCTCACGCCTGTAATCCCAGCACTTTGGGAGGCCGAGGCGGATGGATCACGAGGTCAAGAGATCAAGACCATCCTGGCCAACCAACATGGAGAAACCTCGTCTCTACTAAAAATACCAAAATCAGCTGGGCGCAGTGGCATATGCCTGTAGTCCCAGCTACTCAGGAGGCTGAGGCAGGAGAATCGCTTGAACCTGGGAGGCGGAGGTTGCAGTGAGCCAAGATTGCGCCACTGCACTCCAGCCCAGATGACAGAGTGAGATTCTGTCTCAAAAAAAAAGTGTTCAAGACCAACATGGCGAAACCTCATCTCTACAAAAAATACAAAAATTAGCCAGGCATGGTGGTGCGCACCTATAGTCCCAGGTACTGGGAAGCTTGCCGTGTCACTGCAGCCTGGGTGACAGAGCAAGACTCTGTCTCAAAAAAACAAAAACAAAAACAAAAAGGAGAGAAATTTATCCTAAAAAAAAAAAGGTATCTTTGGCTTCCATAAATGATTATTCCTTTCTTCTAGATCCTTAGCTTTAGCTCTTCAGACTTAAGCTGCTCTATTACCAAAGAATGGCCTATCAGCACAGAATAAAGGGCATATACTGCTAAGTAAACAGCCACATACAAAGCAAGGGAATTCCATGGTAATTTAACAGACTGGATCTTAGCCTTCATTTCTAGAGCACGTGGCTGTCTTAGTAGAAAGCATATTTCATCACTTAAGACTGGAAGCTACTTTGCAATGTGGAACACAAAAGTAGTGGCTTAATTACATTAAACTGGATGTTCTAATGCTATTTGTTAAAACATAATTCTTTTAAGGGGAAATTTTAAGCAGGAAAATTAAGTAGCACACATTTAAGCTTATATATTTAAAAGTACTTTATAACAGTAGTTATTTCTGAGGGGTGAGACTTTCTATTTTTTTTTCCCTTTTTTTTTTTGAAATGGAGTCTCACTCTGTCCCCAGGCTGGAGTGCAGTGGCGTGATCTCGGCTCTCTGCAACCTCCGCCTCCCGGGTTCAGGTGATTCTCCTGCCTCAGCCTCCCGAGTAGCTGGAACTACAGGCACCCACGACCATGCCCAGCTAATTTTTTTGTATTTTTAGTAAAGACAGGGTTTCCCTGTGTTGGCCAGGATGGTCTCGATCTCCTGACCTCATAATCCAACCCGCCTCGGCTTCCCAAAGTGCTGGGGTTACAGGCGTGAGCCACCACACCCGGCCTTTTTTGAAAATGACATGTAGCCGGGCGTGGTAGCTCTGCCAGGTGCAGTGGCTCACGCACCTGTAATCCCAGCACTTTGGGAGGCCGAGGCAGGTGGATCACCTGAGGTCAGGAGTTTGAGACCAGCCTGGCCAACATGGTGAAACCCCGTCTTTACTAAAAATACAAAAAAAAAAAAAAATTAGCCAGGAGTGGTATTGGGCGCCTGTAATCCCAGCTACTTTGGAGGCTGAGGCAGGATAATCGCTTGAACCCGGGAGGCAGAAGTTGCGGTGAGCCGAGACTGTGCCACTGCACTCCAGCCTGGGCAACACAGCGAGACTCTGTCTCAAAAAAAAAAAAAAAAAAAAAAAAAAAAAGGCATGTATCACTGGATCACTTATATTCAAAAATAATAATAAAGTTATTTTATTTTGGAAAAAATTGATAATAACTAAAGAAAAGTTATCACTACTAGATAAATTTGAAATGACAGATTAACTAAAAAAAGTTTTATGGCACATCTTCTAAATTCCCTAATAAACAGTAGTATTAGTCAACTGTCTTCTGCCATCCAGCACCATTTGCTAATTTGTCAAACTTTTAAATTTATTTTTATTTATTTATTTTTGAGACAGAGTCTCGCTCTGTCACCCAGGCTGGAGTGCAGTGATGCGATCTCGGCTTACTGCAACCTCTGCCTCCCGGGTTCAAGCGATTCTCCTGCCCCAGCCTCCCAAGTGGCTGGGATTACAGGCACATGCCACCACACCCGGCTAATTTTTTGTATTTTTGGTAGAGACGGGGTTTCACCGTGTTAGCCAGGATGGTCTTGATCTCCTGACCTCGTGATCCACCTGCCTTGGCCTCTGAAAGTGCTGGGATTACAAGTGTAAGCCATCTCACCTGGCCCTTTTTTTTTTTTTGAGACAGAGTCTCGCTGTGTCACTCAGGTTGTAGGGCAGTGGCGCAATCCCGGCTCACTGCAACCTCCGCCTTCCGGATTCAAGTGATTCTCCTGCCTCAGCCTCCCAAGTAGCTGGGACTACAGGCATGCACCCCCAAGCCCGGCTAATTTTTATGTTTTTAGTAGAGATGGGGTTTCACCATGTTGGCCAGGCTGGTCTCCAACTCCTGACCTCAAGTGATCCGCCTGCCTTGGCTTTTCCAAACTGCTGGGATTACAGGTGTGAGCCACCACGCCCGGCCTAATTTATCAAACATTTAAGATACCTAGACCTGTGCTGGTCACTGGGATACAAGTATGAGTAAGATAGTTCCTGTCTTCAAAGGGCTTATGAGTCTAAATGAGGAGAGGAGAGTGATAAGAAATGATATGCCTTCATAGTGGTTTTGGTTTGCATTTCCCTGATGGTTAGTGATACTGGGGAACTTTTAATGTATTTGTTAGACATTTGTATGGGGTGATGAAATATGTTAATTAGCTTGATTGTGGTATTCACTTCACAATGTGTATGTATAACAAAACATCACATTATATATCTTGAATATAAACAATTTTTATTTGCCAATTATACCTCAATAAAGCTAACAGAGAGAGAGCGCTTCACTGCAATGTGCAAGGCATGCTACCAGAGGTATGCACAAGTGCCATGGGATTATGGAGGGTCAGGGAGTGTATCTAGGAGGGGGTAGCACATGAGCTGAGTCCTAAAGGATGAATTTCAATCAAGGGAAAGAGGGGTAAAGAAGTTCAGGGTAGAAGAGACAGCAAATATGAAGGCCTGGGTCCAGAAAAACATAAAACAAAAATATGGCATTATCATATTACTAATAGCTAGTATTTACTGAATACTTACTAAGTGTCAAATAATGTGTTGCTGCTTTATAAGCATTTTAAATTTAATCCTCACTATAACCCTACTGGCAAGAATTATTTCCCCCGTGTTCCATGGGAGGAAACTGAGGCCCAGAGAGGTTAAGTGCCTGGAGAGGTACTGGCCCAATCATGTAGAACTAGAATAGCATGCTAAGGAGTTTAAGCTTCATTTAGTACAAAGTGGAAGGGCAATAAGGAATTTGAAACAGAATGATGTGAGTCAATGACAATTCAGAAAGATGACGCTACCAGTACTATGAAGACAGACTATAGAGAGAGAACCCTAGAGATAAGGAGGTGGGTTGGGACACTATTCCAGTACTCCAGGTAAGAAAGGAGAAGGGCCTTCAGTATAGAGAGAAGGTGACAGATTTTATTTAATTAAAATAATTTTAAATTTTATTTAATTTTATTAAGGTTTATTAAATTGTATTTAATTAAATAATTTTATGTAATTACAAAAAAGTTTAGTAACCCATGAACTGAAGAGTTTGAGGGATTTTAAGGAGGTAGAGTCTACAGGACAAAACCAAAAAGTAAATGCCCACAGAGATCAAGTGAGAAACATACTGAGTCTACTGGACCAGCACAAGCCATACACAGCAAACTAGAAAAGATGGCCTGTGTTATAGGAAAAGCCAATGACTGCCATGGCACTCCAGGTTTTCAGATCATCCAGTTTTTCAAGAGAAGGTAGACATTTTAACTTTCATTTGAAATCTCTTAATTTTTAAATCTTTACAACCAATCCCAACATTTGAAAAACTATCTCAGGCCGGGCACGGTGGCTCACACCTGTAATCCCAGCACTTTGGGAGGCCGAGGTGGGTGGATCATGAGGTCAAGAGATCGAGACCATCCTACCCCGTCTCTACTAAAAATACAAAAATTAGTTGGGCATGGTGATGCGTGCCTGTAGTCCCAGCTACTTGGGAGGCTGAGGCAGGAGAATCGTTTGAAACCAGGGTGAGAGAGATCACGCCACTGCATTCCAGCCTGGTGACAGAGCAAGACTCCGTCTCAAAAAAAAGAAAAGAAAAGAAAAGAAAAGAAAAGAAAAGAAAAGAAAAACTATCTCAAGGAAAAACAAAACACACCTATAGAACCAAGTTCTTCTGGGCCAACAATTTTGCCCTCTCCACAGGACAGAAAGAAAGCTGACTAACATCACATAGAATGACTGCTGGGTAGCACTGAGATCTCAGCTAAGATAATGAACCACACATTTCTAGCGGTACAACCTAGCAGCCAGGATGCAGAAGAAAAGAAAAGGCACATGCATGAACTGATCGGAGCTTGGGGTTCTGCAACTGAGTGGTTTGGAAAGATAAAAGGGTTAAAGAATCATGCTATATACTTTACAAACATAATCTTTAATCTTCTCAGCAACTCCATGGAAACTGGTCTTGTTATTCCTGTTTTACTGATGAGGAAACTTAGTAACTTGTCCATTATAGCAGTTAATAAATAAATCGTGTTGGTCAGGTGCAGTGGCTCACACTTGTAATACCAGCACTCTGGGAATTCAAGGTGGGAGGATCACTTGAGCCCAGGAGTTTGAGACCAGCCTGGGCAATATAGTGGGATGCCGTCTCTACAAAAAATAAAATTAGCTGGGTGTGGTTGACATGCGCCTGTGGTCCCAGCTACTCAGGAGGCTGAGATGGGAGGACTGCTTGATCCCATGAGGTCGAGGCTGCAGTGAGCTGTGATTGTGCCACTGCACTCCAGCCTGGGCAACAGAGTGAGAACATGTCTCAATAAATAGCCAGGTGCAGTGGCCCACACCTGTAATCCCAGCACTTTTGGGAGGCCGAGGCGGGTGGATCACCTGAGGTCAGGTGTTTCAGACCAGCCTGGCCAACGTGGCGAAACCCCGTCTCTACTAAAAATACAAAAATTAGTTGGGCGTAGTGGCAGGTGCCTGTAATCCCAGCTACTCAGGAGGCCGAGGCAGGAGAATTGCTTGAACCTGGGAGGCGGAGGCTGCAGTGAGCTGAGATCGCACCACTGCACTCCACCCTGAGTGACAAGAGCAAAACTCCATCTCAAAAAAAAAAAGAAGTAAAAATAAATAAATAGTGTTACGTGGATTTGAGAAATGTCCAAAACCCACTCTCTTTCTGCATCCCATGCTGCCTTCCCCCAAAAGGAATGTCTGAAAAAAGAGGAATGTACAGTGGCCAAGAAAGACTAATAGAATCTTTGCATCAGTGCAAATCAGAGTTGAGAGTCCTCTCAAGTGTTAACACAGCACTGATCAGTCTGCATTCTCCACCTTAGAGAGATCAGCAGGCAGCCACAAGGTAAAGACCTTGAAGTTAGCATCAGCTAAACAATCAAGGGAAATTTAGCCTTGAAGATTCTTAAAGGCCTCTTGTTTGTGTGATAATTTTTCTGAATCATAAACTGAAAGAAGCAGCATAAAAAAGGACTACTTTATTTTTATTTATTTTTGAGAGGGGGCCTCACTGTTGCCCAGGCTGGAGTGCAGCTGCACAATCACAGCTTACTGCAGCCTCAACCTCGTAGGCTCAAGCCATCCTTCTGCCTCAGTCTTCCGCGTAGCTGGGACTACAGGTGTGCACCACTACACCCGACTAATTGTCTTATTTTTTGTAGAGACAGGGTCTCCCTATGTTGCCCAGGCTGGTCTCGAACTCTTGAGCTCAAGTGATCCTCCCACCTTGGCCTCCCAAATGCTGAAATTACAGGCATGAGCCACCGTGCCCAGCCAAAAAGTACTTCAGAGGGCCGGGTGTGGTGGCTCATGCCTGTAATCCCAGCACTTTGGGAGGCCGAGGCGGGCAGATCACCTGAGGTCGGGAGTTCGAGACCAGCCTGACTAACATGGAGAAACCCCATCTCTACTAAAAATACAAAATTAGCCAGGCATGGTGGCGCATGCCTGTAATCCCAGCTACTGAGGAGGCTGAGGCAGGAGAATCACTTGAACCCGGGAGATGGAGGTTGTGGTGAGTCGCGATCGCACCATTGCGCTCTAGCCTGGGCAACAAGAGTGAAATTCCGTTTCAAAATAAATAAATAAATAAATAAATACCTTAGAACCCTGGATACACACATATCAGTCAAAAAGGTCTGAGAACTAACCAAATCACAAAGTAATGTGTAGTCATCAGTGTGATGCCTCTCTTCCTTTCTTCAGAATCAGTTGACCCACAAAGATACTCACTTCCCCAAGATTCTCACTTTATAAAGCATAAAGACAAAATTTAAGAGCAAAGAAGAAGTTCAAAAAGGTAGACAGCAGGAATAACAGATTTTTCACATTCCAAGCCAATCTAGAGACCCTAATTTGGATTTGGACTTTCCTCCTAAGAATAAAGTTGCAGACAACATTGAACTTGGGTAACATAACTTTCCAGATTTGCTCATTGCATTGGCTTAATTCTGAAGGAAGAAGGCTAATAATTACAGGTTGCTGAAAATGTCTAAATGTAAGTGAAACTGGTAGAGGACAGCCTGGAATAAGCATCAAGGTGAAAGTACTGAAAAGAGTCATCACAGATTTCATCATCTCCATGCTAAGGCAAGGAAAGAGACTAAGTCATTGGCCTAGGACAAACAACTGAATTTAACAGTGTTTGCAGGATTTGCACACATTTGCCCAACCACCTTATTTCCTGGAAGAAGAGATTATAATCTCTTAATTTTCCTCCAAGATATGAACAGTGTCCTTCAAAAACTTTTTTTTATTTTAACTTAAGGAGAGGAGTCTCTCTACATCATAAAGGAGCTTAAATGCACGTCATAAAATTCTTAAGTCATTGCTAAAAGTACCTTACAAAATGAATTAAGAAATCTGCTATGTTTTTCTGAAAGACTTCAGGAAAATCACATCTCCAGCTGGTACTCCAAAGGGGTAAATACTATTTAAATTGTCCTCTACCACATTGTACTGAGGAACTGCAATCACAGAAGAACCATTTGCATTGTCTCTTCTCTCTATGACATCCGAAGATTATTAAAGACTCATTTTAAGGCAAAAACTGAAATTCATTTCAAGAGGCTGAAGGCAAAGGGCCCGCCACTGCAGCCTGCACCTTTTATCAACATGAAATTTACCTCCCAGAAATAGTGTGTGATGATGCTGGAAGTTCGCCCAAGGCCTCCACATGTCTACACTCCCTATAACCTTCAGATGACACAACTACATGAGGGAATTTATCTGGATATTTGGAAATCCAGGCAGGCAACCTGACAACTGAACTTTCAGGTGGGGCTCACTCATATGGCCTGTTTGGGCATTCTAAAACATCTCACGATTTTTCTGAAAATCAGTAGGTTTCCTATCTAGTTCATATAACTTTGTAGTTATTTAGGAGCCAAGTCATTAGTCTTAAAGAAAAACAAAACAAAACAAAAATCACATCTCCCAACCCCAATATCATTACATAAACCAGGTAGCTAAAATTAGGGAATAGGAAACTGGGCCAAACTCAATGACTAACCAGAGCCAGCAAAGTCTAATAGGCTAAAAAAATAAAATGATAGCTTAATTTCCTTTCATTAAAATGTTCTAATTACAGATCACCTTAAAAGGTCATCTGGTTTCTCAAGAAGTGAGAGGTTTTTTTTTTCTTCTTAAATTGTCCTAGAGAACCACCTTGGTGAATCAATAACTGCTACTTTTACCTACTATAATAGCAAGACCTTAAAAGGATTCTTTTCTTTCCTTTTAACAATAAATACTTATAATAGTGATAATAAAGTTCTTTAATTAAACAAAGGTAATACCAAGCTATAAAATTTGCCCATATGACATCAAGGAATAGGAAGTAATAAAGATTTGTTTCTAGATATCACCTTCTGAAGAAAAGCAAAACAAAGTTCACAACTTAAAAAGTAGGGGGGATGGGCACGGTGGCTCATGCCTGTAATCCCAGCACTTTGGGAGGCTAAGGTGGCACGTCATTTGAGGTCAGGAGTTTGAGACCAGCCTGACCAACATGGCAAAACCCTGTCTCTGCTAAAAATAAAAAATTAGCCGGGCATGGTGGCAGGCGCGTGTAATCCCAGCTGCTCAGGAGGCTGAGGCAGGAGAATCACTTGAACCTGGGAGGCAGAGGTTGCAGTGACCCGAGATTGTGCCACTGCACTCCAGCCTAGGCGACAAAGCTAGACTCCATCTCAAGAAAAAAAGAGAAGGAAAAAAAAGTGTTAATTTTATATGCAGAGTAGGTGATGTCAAGAATATGTGAATACTCACACTGAGCCTGTGAGAAGTGCGAAAACAGGTAACTGGGAAGATAAACTCATTTAAAATTGGATTTTCTTGGACCGTGCTAGGCAGTGGCTGGAAACAGATTTTTGAGCAGGTCCTGCCACTGAAGCCTGCTCTCATTCCTTTACCAAACATTCAAAATAAAACTTCAAAAGGATCTATAAGTAGCTTAGGTCAATAAGGCAATTAGGAATAAAATGGAATAGAGTTCACCTGAGGGAAGAAAAAAGTCTTATCAAGAACCTAAATTGAGCAAATGATATCTGTAAAATAAATTTGGTTCTAAGTTTTCTGGAAGCCAAAATTAAAAGACTAAAGAGACATCATTTGTTTTCTGATGAAAGCTCACAAATTTATCTAAGGGACAATTTTCCTGGAAGTAACCACGAACAACAATTTATCAGGAAGATCCTCGTAAAAGGACTGTAACTAACAGACTCTTCATTTTCAACCATCATCTTGCTAAAGATACAAGTACAGTTCAAATGAGTTCTTTTAGTGACCCTCCCTAACAATGAATGACCTGATCTAATGCAGAGGTGAGACCTGGTTCTCTGCCCTGCCCCTAAGCACTACATTTCTCCCCATCCTAGCCCACTCCTGCTGCTCACAGAATTCCACCCTTACTCTAAAGTTGCAGGAAGGACGGGACTACTTTTGGCCACTTGCTAGCACAACTGCATTTAAAAAAAAAAAAAAAGGTACCAGAAAAAGATGCCTTAAAAATAACACTATCCACCCAGACTTAATTCCCTTCTCCAATAAAAGCAACCAGGGCTCCTTGGAGAAATGATCCTAAGACTGAGGAAGGAAATGTACAAAATGAGCCTGGAGCATCTTATAGTGCCAGAAAGTAAGAAGTGCTCAAAAACAAAAACCAGAGGTCCGGGGCGGGGTGGGGGGCAGATCATTTAAGGTCAGGAGTTCAAGACCAGCCTGGCCAACATGGAGAAACCCCATCTCTACTAAAAATACAAAAATTAGCCAGGCATGGTGGCACCCACCTGTAATTGCAGCTACTCAGGAGGCTGAGGCATGACAATCACTTGAACCCAGGAGGCAGAGGTTGCAGTGAGAGGAGATTATGCCACTGCACTCCAGCCTGGGTGACAAAGCAAGGCTCTGTCTCAAAACAAACAAACAAACAAAAATGAAAATCCAAAAAATACAAGAATGCGGGTATGTCAAAGGGACACAGGAACCTAAAGGGCTCCCAATAGCTAAAGCTGAAACAATCAGGGCAACAATTATAGTACTGGTTTATAATCCAAAGTACATAGTAAACATCCATGAATCTACACTTACATATAAATGATTGATTAAATAAATAAATAAGGAAGAGAGACAAATCTTCCGTGAAGATTCTCAAATAATTTATGTAGGCACCCGTAAGGAGTGTGAAGCATAACTCCCCACTCCTTAAGTGTGGGCTACATAAAGTGACTTCCTTCTAAAGAACACAGAATAGAAAGGGGGAAAAAAGAGTTACTCTGTAGTGGACTGACCAAAACATCATTAAGGGGGAAAAAAGGAAAGAAAAGAATATTGTATAGTGAAGAAACCTGACAAACACTAATTCATCCAAATGATCAAGGGCAGTATCAACGTGACAAATCATGTTGATATGATGTGATGAAAATGACACTTTATAAGTGAATCATGGTTTTGACAAGAAAAAAAAAATGACATTTTATCTCTGTGGTCTTCCTCCCCAAAACCCATAACCTCACCTTATCATGAGAAAAACATCTGACAAATGCCCAATAGAGGGCAACCTACAAAATACCTGGCCAGGGTCCTCAAAACTCACAAGGTCCACCAGGCCCACTGGCTCACACCTTGTAACGCCAGCACTTTAGGAGGCCGAAAGGGGAGGGTCACTTGAGTCCAGGAATTTGAGACCAGCCTGGGCAACACAGGAAGACCCTGCCTCTAAAAATAATTAAAAAAAAAAAAATTAGTTTGGTGTGGTGGTGCATACCTGTGGTCCCAGCTACTCAGAAGCCTCAGGGAGGAGGATTGCCTGATCCCAGGAGGTCAAGGCTGCAGTGAGTTGTGATCATGTCATTGCACTTCAGCCTGGGTGACAGAGCAAGACCCTGTCTCAAAACAAACACACAAACAAAAAACTCACGGGCCAGGCGCGGTGGCTCACGCCTGTAATCCCAGCACTTTGGGAGGTTGAGGCAGGCAGATCACTTGAGGTCAGGAGTTCGAGACCATCTTGCCTAACACGGTGAAACCCTGTCTCTACTAAATATACAAAAACTAGCCGGGCATGGTGGCACTCGCCTGTAGTCCCAGCTACTCAGGCAGCTGAGGCAGCAGAATCGCTTGAACCCGGGAGGCAGAGGTTGCAGTGAGCCGAGATCTCGCCACTGCACTCCAGCCTGGGCGACAGAGTGAGACTCCGTATCAAAAAAAAAAAAAAAAAAAAAAAAAGAACGGAAACAGGAATAGCTAGCCTTTTCTCTCTCTGAGAGACCATACAACATAGTACTTTTAAGATGGAAGGTTCTAGAGTCAGACTTTCTGGTCCGTGCTCAAATCACAGGTGTGCCGTTTACCAGCTGTAAACACTTGGGCATGTTCCTTAACTTGTCTACCTCATTTGTAAAATAAGGACAACAGTTGTACATACATCATAAGGTTATTGTGAGGATTTTTTTTTTTTAGATAGGGTCTCACTGTGTTGCCCAGGCTGGTTATGTACTCCTGGGCTCAAGAGATCCTCTTGTGCCAGCCTCCTGAGTAGCTGGGATTACAAGGACACACCACCACGCCCAGCTACTGTGAAGATTAAATGTTATACAGGTAAACTGCCTGGAACAGTGTTTGTCACATAGCAGGCATTCAATAGGTGTTATATTATTGTTATAACTGTTGGTGATAACTCAGAACTC
Source organism: Homo sapiens (assembly GCF_000001405.40). Lineage (NCBI taxonomy): Eukaryota > Metazoa > Chordata > Mammalia > Primates > Hominidae > Homo > Homo sapiens. Next base: position 75,164,039 of record NC_000014.9, read on the forward strand.
CATAAATATTTAGGTCATTAACCACATTTTCTTCCTTTTTTTTTTGAGACAGAGTTTTGCTCTGTCGTAAAGGCTGGAGTGAAGTGGCACTATCTCAGCTCCCTGCAACCTCTGACTCCCGGGTTCAAGCAATTCTTGTGCCTCAGCCTCCAGAGTAGCTGGGACTACAGATGCATGCCACCATGCCCGGCTTTTTTTTTTTTTTTTTTTTGAGACAGAGATTTGCACTGTTGCTCAGGCTGGAGTGCAGTGGCACGATCAGAGCTCACTGCAACCTCCACCTCCGGGTTCAAGCAATTCTCCTGCCTCAGCCTCCCCAAGTAGCTGGGACTACAGGTGTGCGCCACCAGGCCCGGCTAATTTTTTATTTTTTAAGTAGAGATAGGGTTTCACCATGTTGGCCAGGCTGGTCTCGAACTCCTGACCATGTGATCCACCCACCTCGGCCTCCCAAAGTGCTGGGATTACAGGCGTGAGCCACTGCACCTGGCCTAATATATATATATATATATATATATATATATATATATATATATATATTTTTTTTTTTTTTTTTGTATTTTTAGAAGAGGCGGGGTTTTGTCATGTTGGCCAGGCTAGTCTCAAACTCCTGAGCTCAGGCAATCCGCCTGCCTCAGCCTCCCAAAGTGCTAGGATTACAGACGTAAGCCACCATCTCTGGCCCATTAACCATATGTTCTAACCTAAGAGTACTAATGGATGGCAAACTAGATAAATTGTGCTATGTTCACTAAATCCAGGGATGATTAGGGCCCAAATGGCTATTGCATGGAAACAGAGAGAAAGGGGTAGTCAGGTACACTCTCAAGGAAGCAGCAGCAAGATTTAGAAAATGAAAGGATACAAAATGCCTAAGAAAGCAGATGTTTGATCCTTTTAGCTGATAAAAAGAGAGACAGTAAGGAATCCAAGATGATGCCAGCTTTTCCTGTATGTGGTTTTTAACTTAATAAGGAATAAACTACATGAAGAATCCAACATTAGATATGGCGGAAAGAGAGAGAGGATTGAGGTTGCATATATAATTATCTCTACTCTTCATAAGAATTCACAAGTGAATACTGAGCCAAAGGGTCTATTCCCCTAAGATATAAAAAAGCAGAAAGAACACCAACTCATTAAAGATGCTATGGCTTTAGATAGAAAAATATATCAGAAACATGTTCTTTTTCTTTCTTTCTTTTTTTTTAGACAGTCTCACGCTGTTGCCCAGGCTGGAGTGCAGTGGCATGATCTTGGCTCACCACAACCTCCACCTCCCAGGTTCAAGCGATTCTCCTGCCTCAGCCTCCCGAGTAGCTGGGAATACAGGCATACGCCACCATGCACGGCTAATTTTTGTATTTTTAGTAGAGACAGGGTTTCACCATGTTGGCCAGGCTGGTCTCGAACTCCTGACCTTGTGATCCTCCCACCTCAGCCTCCCAAAGTGTTGGGATTACAGGCGTGAGCCACCATGCCCAGCCTCAGAAACACTTTCAAAAGGGACCACTGTATCTCAAAAACGAAAAACATAAACTCTGACGGCTTAGGTGCTACATTTAATGGGCATAAAATGAATTTAAGCTGATCTTTTAAACAAAAGCATGTACAAAGTCTATCAAATATATTCCTGAAATAAAAGGATCACATCTAGATTTTGCCCAGAACAAAGTCAAACTTAGCCCACAGGCAGCATTTGGCAACACTAAATTCTTTCAAATTTCTAGTACAGTTCACTGATAGTATAACATAGTACATAAGTATTGCTTAAGCTAAAATATGATCAAGGAGGCTAGGAGGCTTTTTCTAGAAATGCTGAAAACCAGAAATAGCAAATTTCCAGGCACTGGCATGATAATGGATAGATGCTCTCTTCCTGCTTCTATCAGCATTTGCTACATTAACTTAACATAGGCAATACGTCATGCTTGACTTGGGGGAGGAGTGGGGGGGTAAGAAAAGGGGAGAAAGAGAGGGAGGAAAGGAGGGGAACGAGAACGAAAGACCCGTTGCTGCCCTAACAATACTACTGCGGGGGTGAAGCCAGATCAAATGTTTTTTTTCATACTGTTCCAAAGTTATTTACGGTAAAAACCTCCAGCGTGACCCTTTCATTATGAGCACAAACAAAGTCTTGTTCTTTCTTAACAACTATTCCCTTGATTTCCCACATTTTATGTTGAACAATGAGGTTGGGAGCACAGGATAAAGCAGATGACATCAACCTCCCTCAAGTCGGAGACTTGTTTGGGAGCCCAAGTTCAGGTCTGTGGCCAGCTGGCTGATTTCACAGAGGGCTCTACTGTCCAGGCTGCCAGGCTCTATATGCATATGGGGGCAATGGCTCAGGATCAAACTACCAGTCAGCAATTCACACAAGAAACAGCATAGAAGTCACTGCACCCCTACTGGGTTACCTTTATATATTTGTTCCACTTTCCTAGAAACCAGACTCAGTCTTCAGAAGTCAGCATAAAGATATGGTGTAGCAATTTCAAACTGGAAGCAGCCCCCTTCTCTAGATCAGTTCAAAACAGGGAAGGCTGTAGACAACTGTTTACTGAATAAGAGAGATTTAAATGAAGCAATGTATCCTTTAACTTTTATGGAGAAGGACGCAAAGGTCAAGTTATAATTAAAAGCTAGGAACTTTGTATATAATACAAAAAGAAATTCGATTTATATTATTAAATGTCAATGTACCAATTAGCCTTCTGTACTGAACCATCTATTTATTGACCTGTTTCTAACCCAGTGAACAACAGTCACGTTAAATTCACGCTGAAAGGGCCATATTTCTCCCTACAGAAAAAGTCTGGCATAAGTAAGGGTTCATGGGATCGTTATTGATAAAAAGGATGGTTCATTTCGATGACTGAGCAACATGCATCCTATTCCTTTTTTTTTTTTTTTTTTTTGAGACGGAGTCTCACTCTGTCGCCCAGGCTGGAGTGCAGTGGCGTGATCTCGGCTCACTGCAACCTCCACTTCCCAGGTTCAAGCGATTCTCCTGCCTCAGCCTCCTGAGTAGCTGGGACCACAGGTGCACACTACCACGCCTGGCTAATTTTTGTATTTTCAGTAGAGACAGGGTTTCACCATGTTGGCCAGGATGGTCTCATTCTCCTGACCTCGTGATCCACCCACCTCAGCTTCCCAAAGTGCTGGGATTACAGGCGTGAGCCACCACGCCCAGCCGAAGCATCCTATTCTTTCTCCTTGTCAGCACAGAACAGACCTCAGTACAGATACCAGTAATAAAAAAGCTGAAATACAGTAATTCCAAACAAAATAATCTGAAAACTATAGCATATATACCATCTTTTCCTTCCTTCCTCCCTCCCCTGCCTCTTCGCCCCTCTGCCTCTCTCTCTTTTCTCCTCCTCGCCCCCACCCCCACCACTGTCCTTTTCTCCTTCCTCCTCCCTCTCCTCTCTGTCCTCATGCCTGGCCTATAGTATCTTCTCATACAGCTTTGGGTGAGGGAAAAAAGAAGTTATAAGCCAATAGTTTCCCAACTGCCAAGTTACTTCTTCATAATTTTTAGGCTTAAGTTGTGGTAGGCCTGTGATTCAAGGCTGAACTCTTTAAGGGATCTGTTTGGCTTTCTTATCTATAAGCTAGTTGGGAAGGACAGAAATCATAACTTGGTATAAGATCCAAATTTTCAGCCAGGTGCAGGGGTTCATGCCTGTAATCTCAGTGCTGTGGGAGGATCACTTGAGGCCAGGAGTTCGAGGTTGCAGCGAGCTATGATCATGCCACTGCACTCCAGCCAGAGCAAAATAATAATAAAAATATTACCCAAATTTCTGAGTCCCTACAACAGGCTTTTATTATGGACCTGAAGTAATGGAGGAAACTTCTATATTCACTGTAAATGACGAGTTGATACTTCCTGCTTCAATTATGTGCAGCAAAGTCTTTATACCTGACACTAGTTAGCCTGATTTAGCCTCACTTTATGAAATGAGTAGGGAAGTATGGAATAGACTCAGTTTGGAGATCTTAACACAAAATGCATCTCAATATAGGTCTGAAATAGAAATCTTTGCAGGAGAGGACCACCCATCATTTCAATCCATTTATCTCTCTCTGCTTCAGAAAGGCCTCCCCTGACCACTCAAACACCCTTTAACCCATCAGTCACCCCCTACTCCCTAGTGCCTGAACTTTCATTATAGTGCTTATCACTACCTGAAATTCTATTATTTTAACTTGTTTTTTGTCTTTGTTCCCCACAAGAGCTTGAGGACCTTGTCCCGTTTATCCCCATATTCTCAGCCAGGTCTGACACATACTAAATATTACATAAATATTTGTTGAATGAATGAAAGAATCACAAACTACTCATAATTCCTCTCATTAAAATACTCCATATCTACTTATTTCAATGACATATAGCATGAGGGGCTCTGAGAAGCAATTCAATTTTCATTCAATACAGAGGAAAGAAAAGAGTACTAACATCTATGGAGCACCATAATGGGCCCTGCACAATAAAAACCTCACCCATCTCAATCAGTCCTTCTAACAAGTTTATGAGCTCTACGATTCCCATATTACAGAAACAGGACCAGAGAAGAAGGGTTAAGTAATCCCTGCAAGACCCACATAACCTTTAAATGGTGGAGCTGCTGGGATCTGAACCAAATCTATCTTACTTCAGATCTAGTCTCTACCATACCACAAGGCTTCTCAAGAAGACTAAGATGTTTAACTCAGTTATACAACAATGTGTACGTTAAACTAAAGACACAAAGATGAGTAAGACATTAAAGAGTTCACAAAGTAAACACTACACTACATGAAAAGTGCCATGTAAAACAGGATGTAATGGTACTACAGTATCTTTTCATACAACTTTTGGTGAGGGGGAAAAAAGAAGTTATAAGCCAATGGGACACATAGGGGACACAGAAAGTCAAACATTGATCCAGGTAAAGAGAACATTATATTCAAAGAACTGTAAGGTGTTCAGTATAGCTAGAGTCAGAGTGGGAGGAAGCAAATAAAGAGAATGGAAGAGGGAAAGATCAGAGATGAGGCAAAGACAGTGCTTGCTCGTCTGTTCACTAATTCCTTAGGATAAGGTCCTACTATGTGCCAGGCCTTATTTTAGACAAGCATTGCAATGATGAATGAAACCTAGTCTCTGTTCAAGCAGCTTATAGTTTATCCCAGGAGATGGGCAAATACACAACTGCAACACAGAGTGGTATATGATAACATAGGTGCATTCACTGGATACTGAGATGTTCCTAGACAGAAAGAAGGTGAATCAGTCAGATTAACCAAGGCACTATATTCACAGAGACCCTTATAAGAAAGACTGCCTCAGGCTAGGCACAGTGGCTCACGCCTGTAATCCCAGCACTTTGGGAGACGGGCGGATCACCTGAGGTCAGGAGTTTGAGACCAACCTGGACAATATTGTGAAACCCCGTCTCTACTAAAAATACAAAAATTAGCCGGGAGTAGTGGTACGCGCCTATAATCCCAGCTACTTGGGAGGCTGAGGCAGGAGAATTGCTTGAACCTGGGAGGCAGAGGTTGCAGTGAGCCGAGATCATGCCATTGCACTCCAGCCTGGGCAAAAAGAGCGCAACTCCATCTCAAAAAAAAGACTGCCTCATTCAGCACAACCACCAAATGCTAAGCTCAGCTGGCCAGGTTCTGCACCAGTCTCCAGTTCTCCTCCTACCTCAAATCAAACCACAGCTGCCTAAAGCAGGGGTGGAAATATGACCAAAGACAAGACAATCCATTGGCTGAACTGAGACCTAGAATGTGGCCTACCATATGAAAAGGAGCTCTGGCACTTAGGAGTTGCACTCCAGAAGCTAAAATGATGCATAGGGAGAATCCTTGAAGCAGTCGTCAAAATATAAGAAAAAGTGGAACGGCCGGGCGTGGTGGCTCATGCCTGTAATCCCAGCACTTTGGGAGGCAGAGGCGGGCGGATCATGAGGTCAGGGGATTGAGACCATCCTGGCTAACACGGTGAAATACAAAAAATACAAAAAATACAAAAAATTAGCCGGGCGTGGTGGCGGGCGCCTGTAGTCCCAGCTACTTGGGAGGCTGAGGCAGGAGAATGGTGTGAACCCCGGGGAGCAGAGCCTGCAGTGAGCCAAGATTGCACCACCGCACTGCAGCCTGGGTGAAAGCGAGACTCCATCTCAACAAAAAAAGAAAAAGTGGAACTAAGTGAACGGACACCATGAAAAAGACTGAAAGCCGCTATGGGCTGCATCTGCTCACAAATGTGTTCTGTGGCTTGCATGGTATATTACATTTTCAAAAATGACACCTAGCTTGTGGTCTCCAAATACCAATCCCCACAAAAAGGAACTAGAATTCCTTAGAGAAACAGTTGTTCTGAGGTCAGAGGATAGACATATACAAGATAAGCCTAGAACACTTTGTTGTGCCAGAAAACAAGGATGCTATCAAAACCTAACAGGATTATGTTGAAAAAATACAGGAGCCAATATGAAGGAACCAAAGGGACAAATTGGGCATAAAGAATGGAAACAACTGCCTAAAACACAATGATTCTAAAAGTTGAAGCCAACAATTAAAAAGAGTTCAGTAAAATACTTTAAAAAAAAACCCAAAAACTCTTGGACAACACTGAAAATGACAAGGGCAACAATTCCTTACTCTGACAATTATCAATTAGAAGAAATAAATTCTGCATTTATCCTACCAATGTGAATGATAAATTTTAGGATAATCAGATGATATTAATTCCTTAAGAATAATTTCAGCTAATAAATATGGAAGGAGTAACGGAATTAGAAAGTCATCATTTCACAACCTTAATGACATAATAAATGCACACAGTAGTCATCAGTGGATTCCTAAGTGAAAGGTTAATGGGAAACTTTACAATGAAGGCTTTGGGCTATTACCACCCGGGTAGAGAAAAAAATGCCTCCCACACACAAAGATGTCCACATCCTAATCCCTAGAACCCACGAATGTGTTATCTTACATGGCAAAAGGGATTGTGCAGATGTGATTAAATCAGATTAAGGGTCTTGAGGTGGAGAAGATTATCACAAGGGTCCTTATAAGGGAACGAGGGAGGCAGGTGAGTAAGAGAATGAGATGAGATGATGATAGCCGGGGAAGGAGGGAGGAAGAGAGGAAGAAGGGGTGGTGAGGAACAAAGCAGAGGATGGAAAAGGGAAGGAAAGGGAGAGAGTTAAAGATACTATGCTACTGGCTTTAATTTTTTTTTTTTTTTTGAGACAAAGTCTCGCTCTGTCACCCAGGCTGGAGTGCCGTGGCACGATCTCGGCTCACTACAATCTCCGCCTCCCAGGTTCAAGCGATTCCCCTGCCTCAGTCTCCTGAGTAGCTGGGACTACAGGTGTGCACCACCATGCCCAGCTAATTTTTGTATGTTTGGTGAAGACGGGGTTTCACCATGTTGGCCAGGCTGGTCTCAAACTCCTAACCTTCAGTGATTTGCCCGCCTTGGCCTCCCAAAGCGTTGGGATTACAGACGAGAGCCACCGCGCCCAGCCTGGCTTTAAAGATGGAGGAAGGAGATATGAGCCAAAGAATACAAGTGGCTTCTAGAAGCTAGAAAGGGCAAGAAAACTGATCCCCACCCCACTCCCAAAAAGTCTCCAGAAGAAACATGGCTCTGCCAAAACCCTGATTTTAGGACTTCTGACCTTCAGAACGATTAAGACAAATCCCTGATGTTTTAGGCCATAAATCTGTGGTAATTTGTTACAGCAGCAATAGGACACTAAGACACACCTTAATCCACTTATCAATCTTAGCAGCAGCAATAAGGGGCACAAAAAGTACTGTGTGTTCCTGCAGTGACACCCTCGACAGAAAGATTAAACCTGAATCTGGTTACATCTTTTTTTTTTTTTTTACACTTTAAGTTCTGGAGGGGTACATGTGCAGAACGTGCAGGTTTGTTACATAGGTATACGTGTGCCATGGTGGTTTGCTGAACCTCTGGTTACATCTTTACAGCTGATTCCTTTTACAAAAAATATAGTGGAAGAACTGGTTAAAAGACACCTCTAGGAAGCAAAAGACAACTCCGAAATGCTGTACATTCTTTTAAGAGCAATTGACTCCAACAATTCAATTGCAAGGATAAAAAAGGAGGTGAGAGGAAGAGGAGACTGCTCTAGATTAGACACTTGAGAGAGACAACAAATTAACTTTCAAAAGATATTTTTGAGACAAGTGGGATCATACTATATGGACTGGGTATCAAGGAATCATTGTTCTTTTTTTTTTTTTGGAGACAGAGTCTCACTCTGTAGCCCAGGTAGGAGTGCAGTGGCACAATCATACTTCACTGCAACTTCCGCCTCCCAGGTTCAAGAGATTCTCCTGCCTCAGCCTAGAGCAGCTGGGATTACAGATGTGTGCCACCACGCCCAGCTAATTTTTTTTTAAATTTTTAGTAGAGACGGGGTTTCACCGTGTTGGTCAGGCTGGTCTCGAACTCCTGACCTCGTGATTCGCCCACCTCGGCCTCCCAAAGTGCTGGGATTACAGGCATGAGCCACCGCGCCTGGCCATCATTGTTCATTTTGTGAGGCGTGATTAGCCACGTAACATTGTGGTTTATATTTTTAAAGAGATGCATGCTGAAGTAGGCAGGAATGAAATACATGACATCTGGGATTTACTTTAATACAATTTAGCATGAAATGATATGGCAGAAGCAGTTAAGATGACACGTGTGGAAAGATCCTGATAATTGGTGAATATGAGTAATGGGTAGAAAGGTGAACTCACTATACTATTCCCTATAACACTGAAAACAAATCAATGCCCGAACCAATCTGAATTGGCTGGTGAAATTTTTTTTTTTTAATTTTTAGGGGGCCAAACCATTTTATTGAGGAAAATGGAGTGGCAAAGCAGTGGTGAGGACAATGAGATCCATGGCCCTCGGGTGGGCCGGGAGCTCCCAAGCTCTGCAGTGCTGAAACCTGGCTGATGAAATTTAAAAGTCTGGAGCTTTCACATCAAAATCTGGTGTTCCTATTTCATTTGAAAAATCAGATGTGGGCTAGGTGCAATGGCTCATGCCTGTAATCCGAGCACTTTGGGAGGCCGAGATGGGCGGATCACTTGAGCCCAGGAGTTCGAGACCAGCCTGGGTAACATGGCGAAACTCCATTTCTACAAACAAATATGAAAACTAGCCGGATATGGTGGCATGTGCCTGTAATCCCAGCTACTCAGGAGCCTGAAGTAGGAGGATCACCTGGGCCCTGAGGAGGTCAAGGCTGCAGTGAGCTGTGATGGTGCCACTGGAGGGAGGGAGGGAGAGAGGGAGGAAGAAAGGAAGGAAGGGAAGGAAGAGGGGAGGGGAGGGGAAGGGAAAAATCAGATGTGGCAAAAAGGCCCACATGCTTGCATGGCAAGTCTCATCAAGAACTAAGTATTGGTCACCCCTAATTAACAGTTTCTACTACGTCCAATTATTCTCCCATTTATCATCACTGCTTTTTTTTTTAAAATACCTGGTCCAATTTATTCAATGATATTACCTATTTGGCATTTGGGTTTAGGACCCTTGTGGTTCCATTAAGCTGGTTAGTAGCAAAAGAACAGAGCAGACACAGGAGAGCAACTGAGTGATAGTAAAGTGCTAGGGTGTGTGCACAAAGTCCTGCTGGTTTTTGTTTTGCTTTGTTTTGTTTTGTTTTGAGACCGAGTCTTGTTCTGTTGCCCAGGCTGGAGTGCAGTGGCACGGTGTCAGCTCACTGCAGCCACTGCCTCCCAGGTTCTAGTGATTCTCCTGCCTCAGCCTCCCGGGTAGCTGGGATTACAGGCACACGCCACCATGCCCAGCTAATTTTTGTATTTTTAGTAGAGACTGGATTTTAGCATGTTGCTGAGGCTGGTCTTGAACTCCTGACCTCAGGTGATCCACCCGCCTCGGCCTCCCAAAGAGTTAGGGTTACAGGCATGACCCACCAAGCCCGGCCTAAAGTCCTGCTGTTGAGGTGCCTTCAGCAGCCCTAAATTCAATGTAATTCCCATAAGGCCATGCTAAACTACAGTTCCTGTTATTTATAGAGTACTTACTAGAAGCAAGGTAACATGCTTGGCATTCTAGAAAAGATGAACCTGAAAATAGTTCCTACCCTGAGGATACTAACAGTCTAGTAAGTAGGTCAAGGCATAAACAAAAACAGTTCAGAAAATAAGTGAGTTCAGGGTACTGTCCAGGGTGGCTCCATGTAGAATGCAAAGTGGGAAGTGACCACACGTATAGCTCAGAAACAGATCATGAAGAGCACAACAAAGCATGTTGAGAAATTTAAACTATCAATAAGCAATAGTGAGCCACTGAAGGGCTTTAAAATATAAGAACAAATCAGACAGCAACACGAGATGAGAGCAAGGTCTCTTTCATTGCTGAAATTCCCTGAGTCCATGAACATCCTCTGAAGAGTTGGAAGCATGATCTCCCACCCCGGAAACACTATATCTAAGCTTCTAAAATCATGCCATCACTATTTTCCTGGGTAGAGAGTTTGATACCCAAACAGAATAATAAAATGATGGGTCACAGATTAATTGCCCTGAAAATAGTTTGTCTCTCCCAAATAAAGTAGAAATAAATTACATGTATTACCACACTACTGGGTTCCACTACTTTAACATAAGTTATGGTCTTATTATATCTGAAACCCTTTTAAAAAGTAAAAACGAGGCCAGGCGCGGTGGCTTACGGCTGTAATCCCAGCACTTTGGGAGGCCGAGGCGGGCAGATCACGAGGTCAAGAGATCAAGACCATCCTGGCCAACATGGTGAACCGTCATCTCTACTAAAATACAAAAATTAGCTGGGTGTGGTGGCTGGCGCCTGTAGTCCTAGCTACTCGGAAGGCTGAGGCAGGAGAATTGCTTGAAACCGGGAGGCAGAGGCTGCAGTGAGCCGAGATCGCGCCACAGCACTCCAGCCTGGACGACAGAGCAAGACTCCGTCTCAAAAAAAAAAAAAAAAAAAAAAAAAGTAAAAATGTTTCTATTTAGTATAACAAAAGCCCCATTGTGTTACAAAGAAAAAAAAAGACACTTTGCTTATTGTGAATGAATAAAATTACCTAAAATGCAACCAAATACTGACAGATATCAAATTATATTAATGTCTCAAAGACCAGGCCAGGCTACTCTTAGCTACAAAACAGAATCAAACTGGTATTATGGCAGTAGTTGTCACCATCCAAGAGCATAGTTGGTATTTACATAAAAGAGCCAAGTCCAGATTCTGGCATACCAAAGAAAAAGGACTAGAGACTGAGACCATTTTGTAACCAATAATCGACTTTAATCAACTACAGAAATTACAAATTTAAAACAAGGAAGGAATAAGGTTGCAGCGCTTTTCCCTCAACATACTTAACTACCAAACTAAGTAAGAATCTATTCCATCGCAAGGACAGAAAACCAAACACCGCATGTTCTCACTCATAGGTGGGAATTGAACAATGAGAACACTTGGACACAGGGTGGGGAACATCACACACCGGGGCCTGTCGTGGGGTGGGGGGAGGTGGGAGGGATAGCATTAGGAGACATACCTAATGTAAATGACGAGTTAATGGGTGCAGCACACCAACACGGCACATGTATACATATGTAACAAACCTGAAAGTTGTGCGCATGTACCCTAGAACTTAAAGTATAATAATAATTTTGAAAAAAAAAAAAGAATCTATTCCATCTGTGACACTTACTAGTTTATCCTACCTCTGAGTCTCAGTTTCCTCATTTGTAAAATGGGGCTAACAGTACCTACCTACTTCATAGGGTAGTGCATGAACCAAATGGTAATATATGCAAAGTAGCACAGTAACTGACACAGCAGATGCTCAATAAATAACATTTTATTAATCACGGTTAGCTCTGTCTCCTTTACTTTCCTGCAGGTATCGCGGTATCTTATGATGCCAATCCGTATAAATATTCAACACCCCAACATTTATTTGGAGAACCAAATTACGGTTCAATGTATCTGAGACCAAAACTGGTATAGGACGTTGACAACCGCCCCAGCTCAGGTGTCACCACATCCGCCAAAGCCTCGCAGCCCTTCTTGGGGTTCCCAGGCGTTGGTGACCCGCCCCGCCCCGCGACAGGCAACCAGCGGGGTGAGGGGGCGGGCTCCACCGCACGTCCTTTGCGCTCCCGGGAGGCCAGAACAACTCCCAGGCCTCCGCCGGCCCGACTCCCCCGAACCCGAGCCTCCCCTCGCCTAAGCCTGCCGTCTTCCCTCCCGGCCCCACGTCGCCCAATGCCGCACCTTGAGGTGGCTGCGCAGGCCGCCAGCGCCCCCAGACTGGTCGGAGATCTCGTACGCGCCAGTCACTAGCAGGTCCTTGTGAATCTCCTCACGGAGGCACTTGCGAGAGTTAATGGGCAGATGGAAGGAGATGGCAAGGACCAATCTGGGGCCGAGCAGGAACAAAAGCAGCAACGCTAACGGAAAAGGGCCGCGCCGGGCTGGTGGGCCAGACAAACCAGACATGGTGCTGGAGACTCGTTCACCACCGAAGGCCTCAACCGCGCCGGAACCGGGGGGACCCACGTGACTCACCTCTGACCTTCTGATGCCGTCCGCGCCATTTTGGAGACTGGCATGTAGAGAAAGACTCTATAGCGAATCTTTTGAAAAGGGAAGAAAGGATAGGTACCATGTCAAAACCGCAAGTTTAAGCAGTTAAAGAAGCTTTAATAGAATACTATTGCAACAGTTTTATTTTTGTTGAAGTTAGTGACTACTGAGTCGGCCATGGCAAGTATGGGCAGCCCTGGAAGTAATTCTCCTTTAATTTCCGAAAGATGTACCCACGAGTTTAAAGGCGAGTGACACCATAGCAACCAAGCCCCAATAGGAAACAGCCACAAGGCCCTTCGCTGGGCCCGCCCACCGGCCGCCTAGGCGCGAGGGCGGGGAATGAGGCTGTGTCTCCGGGGATGGGGCGGTTTGCAGGCACTCCCAAGCGCCTTTGACACCTTGATGACACCTGGGGCACTGAGACACTAGAGAGGAAAATTTCGAGGAAAGATTTCAACTTGGCTATTAGACAGTGTGGACCTTAGAGAAGAAGTTTTAGGGGTCACCTGATGAATGTGTGCCGGGCAGACATCCGGTTCATGTCCCATAGCAGGGTATTTGGGCTGGAGTAATTGTCTGGCTAACTGAATGTACATGGTATTATTATTATTATTATTATTATTATTATTATTATTATTTTAGCAAACATTGAATGTGTTCTAAGCTATATTCAAAATAAATTTGAATTTGGTATTTAAATTGAATAAAACAACATGTTTTGGTCCAGTCTCAGATGAACATAATTAAGGGGTTAGCAGATAAGCGTTGTCAGGGAAAGTGCGTATGTGTGTGTTTTAAGTTCACAAACACTTTAGGGATCAAATTAACTATTAACATTTGCAAATAGACAAGCAAATTGACACGGTAATAATTCATGCATTCATTCAATGGAGTACCTACTGTGTGCCAGACATTATGCTATGCATGTATGTCAACACGTTTATTGATTTAACAAACTATTACTGGGATACTAGCAAATATTCAGAGCTGAAGAATATATTAAAATAAACGGCCAGGCGCGGTGGCTCACACCTGTAATCCCAGCACTTTGGGAGGCTGAGGCGGGTGGATCACGAGGTCAGGAGTTCAAGACCAGCCTGGCCAAGATGGTGAAACCCCGTCTCTACTAAAAATACAAAAAAATTAGCTGGGCTTGGTGGCGGGCGCCTGTAATCCCAGCCACTCAGGAGGCTGAGGCAGAGAATTGCTTGAACCCGGGAGATGGAGGTTGCAGTGAGCTGAGATGGCGCCACTGCACTCCAGCCTGGGCGACGGAGTGAGACTTGTCTCAGAAAAGAAAGAAGGAAAGAAAGAAAATGGAATTGCTCCTTGGCCTTTTGGCTAACATCAAGTGTAGAAAATAAACGTGGAAGACACAATAGCCCATGTTGGGAATCATTACCTACTTTGATTAACGTTTATTGAGCATCTTCAGAAATATCCAGAAGATGGACTGTCTGCCCTTAGTAATGTACATGATTGGTGTTTTTTTTTTTTAAACTTAGTCCATTTAGTTATTTTCCTAGAAATGAAATCCCACAGACAAAACAAGAACAAACAAAGGAGCTGTAAAGCATTTAAAATTTTGACAAATGCCATACAATAATTATTTTATGAGGTGTCCACTTAGGAGCATTTAGTTGGATTGTTGTATCACTGATCTAAGATAAGATTGGTAGTCCACACAGTACATCCTGATAATTTGCATTGGCCTTTTCCCTGCCAATGCAGGGAATCAGTATAAGCAGTTATCTAATTCATTGTCTACTTGCATTCCTGAGGCTCTGCTGACCAATAGCAAGAGATCTCAACCCATGAAAAAACTGTGTATGTGTTTCCTTTAAATTTCCATCTTACATTTACATAATAGATAATGCAATTTAAAATATTTTCACATATCATAATGATCTCCTCTGACATTTTCAAAAACCCTGTGAAATAGTCTGGACAATCTGTTCATTTTACAGATGAGGAAACCGAGGTTCTGAGAGGCCAAATAATTATACTGTTAAAGAAAAAATACTTCATGACATTTGTTAAAGAACTGTAAAGCAGGCCAGAGGCGGTGGCTCACACCTGTACTCCTAGCACTTTGGGAGGCCAAGGCGGGCGGATAACTTGAGGTCAGGGGTTCGAAACCAGCCTGGCCAACATAATGAAATCTTATCTCTACTAAAAATACAAAAAATTAGCCGGGCATGGTGGTGGATACCTGTAATCCCAGCTACTTGGGAGGCTGAGACAGGAGAATTGCTTGAACCCAGGAGGTGGAGGTTGCAGTGAGCCAAGATCACACCATTGCCCTCCAGCCTGGACGACAGAGCGAGACTCCTTCTCAAAAAAAAAAAAAAAATTGTAAAGCAAATCTTTATTCAAGGGGGACTGCCAAGATAGGTAATACAAGGGCCTATGACAATGGGGTTTTGTAGTAGGAAGGAGAGATCGGGCTCAATTCCAAATACAAGGAAAAGTAGGGATTTACAGCCAAAAATCAGGGTCAGTGGATGGAAAATTACTAAAAGGAAATATTGGGAGTAAGGGGAGATTCTGGCTAAACTAACTTAGCAGGATTCTTCCTAAAATTGGACAATGCAGAGTCATGGAAGTCCAAAAGTCAGAGCCTATTGAGAAGACAGATCAGAACAGCGTGGGTAAAGTTTGGTCAAGGAGAGAATCTTTGTCAGTACCCCAAACCTCATAAGCTTAAAAGTGACAAAAGCAGTCTAGGGGCCTGAGCTATCCTCAGGAAGATGCTATTATTTCTTATTTTAAAGATGAAGAAACTCAGATGCACAGCAGTTACTTTTCTGTGTCACAGCTCTCAAGTCCTTTCTTTTCTTTTTTGAGATGGAGTCTGGCTCTGTTGCCCAGGCTAGAGCGCAGTGGTGCGATCTCAGCTCACCACAACCTGCCCCTCCTGGGTTCAAGTGATTCTCCTGCCTCAGCCTCCTGAGTAGCTGGGATTATAGGCGCGCACCACCATGCCCGGCTAATTTTTGTATTTTTAGAAGAGACAGGGTTTCACCATGTTGGTCAGGCTGGTCTTGAACATCCTGACCTTGCGATCTGCCCACCTCAGCCCCCAAAGTGCTGGGATTACAGGTGTGAGCCACTGCGCCCGGCTTCCAGTCCTTTCTTGTCCTGTAGTCTTACTTATCCCCATCCTCCAACACCTCCTGTCTTTCTTCCCTCCTTTATAATTTTCCCCTTAGCACTCATTACTATCAAATAAAGCATACATTTTACTTACTTATTGTGTTTATTAGTCTGTCTCCCTAACTAGAATGTCTGTTTTGTGAGGGCAGGGATTTTTATCTATTTTTTCACTGTTTTATCTTCTGAACCTAAAACAGTGCCTAGCACTTAGGTACAATAAATAATGGTACAATGAATTTAAGACTGGTACCTTAGAAAGCGCAACCACAAATTTCTCCCATTATTCTTTAGCTGTTTTCACATAAATTTGTTTAATCCATAATGTATCTAAAGCATAGGTACAGTTTCAGTGTCACCAACATGTCTATCTTTTCTTAAAAAAAATGGAAAATACACTCTTGTTTCTATATAAGGACACAGAAAAACAAACAAACAAAAACAATTCTCCTCTGTATGCTGTGGAATGGAACCAAGACTTTTAAGCCTGCACCTGTGTTAAAGAAGTTACCGGCCGGGCATCGTGGCTCAAGCCTATAATCCCAGCACTTTGGGAGGCTGAGGCAGGCGGATCATGAGGTCAGGAGGAGATGGAGACCATCCTGGCCAACATGGTGAAACCCCGTCTCTACTAAAATACAAAAAATTAGCCCAGCGTGGTGACACGTGCCTGTAGTCCTAGCTACTTGGGAGGCTGAGGCAGGGGAATTGCTTGAACCTGGGAGGTGGAGGTTGCAGTGAGCTGAGATTGCGCCATGGCACTCCAGCCTGGCGAAAGAGCGAGACTCATCTCAAGAAAAAAAAAAAAAAGAAGTTACCATTGGGCCAGACGCGGTGGCTCACGCCTATAATCCCAACATTTTGGGTGGCTGAGGCAGGCAGATCACTTGAGGTCAGGAGTTCGAGACCAGCCTGGCCAACATGGTGAAATCCCATCTCAGCTAGAAATACAAAAATTGGCTGGGTGTGGTGGCTCACGCCTGCATCCCAGCCACTTGGGAGGCTGTGGCACGAGATTCGCTTGAACGCAGGAGGCAGAGGTTACAGTGAGCTGAGATTGCGCCACTGCACTCCAGCCTGGGCGACAGAGCGAGACTCCAACTCAAAAAAAAAAAAAAAAAAGATACCGTTTTACATCTGCATGGTAGAAAGGCCTCATTTGACTTGGAGAGCAAATGGAAAGTGTCCCATAACTACAGTAAATGCTTCTCTCTGGCCAGCAGTCTTCTGCCGTCCTGTCATCCTGAAACTTCCCCAGCCAAATCCACCTAAGATTCCTGAGCCACTGGAGCCTCTGGAGGTGAAGAAATATCATGAAGACACCCTCTGCCAATCTATCCCTAAGCCATAGGTTTCTCAAATTTTCCTTTGTGTAAGAGGGGGCATGTTTAAAATACACCTCACCCCAGATGGTGAATCAGAAGCTCTTACTAAAAATTTGCATTCGGGCTGGGCACAGTGGCTCACGCTTATAATCCCAGCACTTTGGGAGGCTGAGGCAGGCAGATTGCTTGAGTCCAGGAGTTCCAGACCAGCCTGGGTGACATGGCAAAACCCCATCTCTACAAAAGATACCAATAATTAGCTGGACATAGTGGTGTATGCCTGTAGTCGCAGCTACTCTGGAGGCTGAAGTGGAAGATTGCTTAAGCCCAGAAGGCAGAGGTTGCAGTGAGCCAAGATCACACCACTGCACTCCAGCCTGGGTGACAGAGTGGGACCATGTCTCAAAAAAAAAAAAAAAAAAAGAAAAAAGAAAAAAAGAAAAATCTGCATTTGTAACAAGCTTGCTTAGTGATTCTGTGGTTGGGAGTGCTTAGACCCTTTCCTGACACCTCCTTGCACCAGCCTAATCCTGCAGTGTGGCTTGAGACTCCCCAGCTCCATGCAGAAGCCATCAAGGATTCCTGACTTAGTTGTTCCTGCCTACTCATGTGTATAGCACCACATGGAGTGTGTGTTTACATAGCTAAGACAAGATGGGTTTTGTGAGGATACAAAAGACCCCTTTGGAGAGCAATTTGGCAATATTTGCCACATGCCATACTCTTTGACCCAGAGAGTGATTCCAAGGGCCTCTTCAATGGGTCTTCTAAATGTTAGAGTCCCCCAGGACCTGGTCCTGGAAACTTCTGCTGCATTCCAGGTGATGTCATACAATTCCATGACTTTATTTTTATATTTTTTATTTATTTTTATTTTTTTGAGACAGAGTTTCACTCTTGTTGCCCAGGCTGGAGTGCAATGGTGCAATCTCAGCTCACTGCAACCTCCGCCTCCAGGGTTCAAGTGATTTTCCTGTCTTAGCCTCCCGAGTAGCTGGGATTACAGGCATGCACCACCACATCTGGCTAATTGTGTATTTCTAGTGGAGACAGGGTTACTCCATGTTGGTCAGGCTGGTCTCGAATTCCTGACCTCAGGTGATCTGCCCACCTCGGCCTCCCAAAGTGCAGGGATCACAGGTGTGAGCCACCGCGCCCAGCCTTAGATTTTTTATTTTTTCTGAGATGGAATCGTGCTCTGTCCTCCAGGCTGTAGTGCAGTGGCGCAATCTCGGCTCGTTGCAACCTTTGCCTCTCAGATTCAAGCAATTCTCCTGTCTCAGCCTCCCGAGTAACTGGGACTTGGGACTGCAGGAGCACGACACCAAGCCCAGCTAATTTTTGTATTTTTAGTAGAGATGGTGTTTCACCATATTGGTCAGGCTGGTCTCGAACTCCTGACCTCAGGTGATCCACCCTTCTTGGCCTCCTAAAGTGCTAGGATTACAGGCATGAGCCACCATCCCCAGCCCAATCCCATGACTTTAAATGTGTCTGTAGACTGATAATTCCCAAACATGGATCTCCTGACCTCTCTCATAAGCTCCAGAGTCTATATCGAGCTCCCTACTTGACATCTCCACTTGAAGGACTAATAGGCAATTCATACTTAACTCTTGATTTCCCTTCTCCCCTCTTCCCCCACCCCGCTCCCAAATCTACTTCTTCCGCATCTCAGTAAATGGCACCACCTTCTGCCTAGTCAATGACACCATTCTTGTTTCCTCTTTAACTAACCTTCTCCCCAGACAGAGTCAGTTCATCAAGTCCCGTCAGTTCTGGATTGGGTCCTAAAATGTATGCTGGTCAGTTTCTACTTCTCTATAAGCTAGGGGTCCATAAACTGCTGCCTAGCTAGGCAGGCCAAATCTGGCATGCAACCTCCTGTTTTTCTATTGTGCAAGAGCTAAGAATGGCTTTTACATTTTTTGAGGGCTGTTAAAAAAAAAAAAGGAGGAGGAGAAAGAAGAGAAGAATGTGCAATAGAGAGCTCAAGTGACCTGCAAGCCTGAAATATTTGCTATCTGACCTTTTACAGAAAAATTTATTTCTGTCAGTTAAGCAAACAAGACAACAGCCTCCTTAATGGTTATCTCTGCTTTTATTATTGCCTGACAATAATCGTACTCATTAACATACCCAGAATGATTTTTTTTTCTTTTTTTCTCTGATTTTTTTTTTTTTTTAAGTAAAGCAGATCAACTAGATTAAAATCCAAACACCCAGCCACAGCCTGAAGGCTGAGGCCACTGTGTTCTGGCTCATGCCTGCCTCTCTGTGATTATCCTACCCATTAATGTCTTACCTGGCCTTCCAAACAGTTTAAGCCCCTACCTGCATCAGAGCCTTGGACCTTGCTGCCTACCTGGAGCTCTCCTCAGCTGTTGTCTCATATACTCTGCTGACTGCTTCTCATCATTTGGGTCCCAACTGAATGTCACCACCCCACATAAGTATCCCCCCCCTTGGGTTACTTTCTACCACATTATCTGGTTTTATTATCTTTATTTTTCTCTCTTTTTTTTTCTTTTTTTTGAGATGGAGGTCTCCCTCTGTTGCCCAAGCTAGAGTGCAGTGGCATGATCTCGGCTCTCTGCAACCTCCGCCTCCTGGGTTCAAACGATTCTCATGCCACAGCCTCCCAAGTAGCTGGGACTACAGGCACTTGCCACTGTGCCTGGATAATTTTTGTATTTTTAGTAGAGATGGGGTTTCACCATGTTGGTCAAGCTGGTCTTGAACTCCTGACCTCAAGTGATCTGCCTGCCTTGGCCTCCCAAAGTGCAGGAATTACAGGTGTGAGCCACCGCGCCCGGCTCTTTTTTTTTTTTTTTTTTTTTTAGGGACAGGGTCTTGCTCTGTAACCCAGGCTGGAGTGCAGCGGCGCCATCATAGCTCAGTGCTGCCTCCATCTCCCTGGCTCAAGCGATTCTCCCACCTCAGCCTCCCCAGTGCTGGGGACTACAGGCACACGCCACCACACCTGGCTAATTTTTTTTTTTTAGTAGAGATGAGGTCTCACTCTGTTTCCCAGGCTTGTCTCAGACTCCTGAGCTCCAGCAATCCTCCAGCCTCTGCCTCCCAAGGTGCTGGGATTATGGGTGTGAGCTACTGCACCCGGCCCTGGTTTTATTATCTACATGGCTCTTGTCACTGTTTGAAAGTATCTTATATATATATCTTTCTTGTTTATTATCACCCCACCCTACTGGAATTTAAGCTCAGAAGAGCAAGGGCTTTGATTTTTGCCTGATCTTTCCCTGAGATCAGGCACAATATCCTGTCCATAGTTGGTGCTCAACAAATACTTATCGAATAAATGAAATACAACATATTATAAAGCTCCTAGCACGAGATGAACATAGAGCAGTTGCTCCATAAATGCTAGTTCCTCTATGTAGTAGGTACAACATTTTAATTGCCATTTTTTATATGGAGAAGCTGAGGTCTGAAACTGCTTAGTGACTTGCCTCAAGTCATACAATGAGTCAGTGTTAGAGCTGAAAATAGAAATGAGAGCTCCTAACTGCAGACCAATTTTTGTCATTACATTTGATAAAACTTGGTATTTACGATTTAGTTTCCACTCTACTAAGAAGTTTTAAATTCTTGGGCACTCTTTCTCTACTTTCACTCAGAGGCTAGTAAAAGATCCACTAGCCTCTCCCAACTCATTTTGCTTGAAAAAACAAGATTTTTATCAGTCGGGTGTGGTAGTTCATGCCTATAATCCCAGCACTTTGGGAGGCTGAGGCATGTGGATCACGTGAGATCAGGAGTTCGAGACCAGCCTGGCCAACATGGTGAAACCTCTCTCTACTAAAAATACAAAAAATTAGGCATGGTGGCGGGAGCCTGTAATCTCAGGTACTTGGGAGGCCGAGGCAGGAGAATCGCTTGAACCCGGGAGGTGGAGGCTGCAGTGAGCCGAGACTGCGCCATTGCACTTCAGCCTGGGCAACAAGAGTGAAACCTGAAAGTCCCTCTCAAAAAAAAAAAAGAAAAAATAAAAAAACAAGATTTATTTTCTTTTCCAGATTCCCATGGTATGGTGCTATATTTTTATCTGCCTAGGTGGGAAACATGAACCCCTGTGGTATACATATGATTTTTCTCCCAAGTTTCTGGCTCATAACTCCCATAGCCCTTGTTACAGTTTTTTGTTGTAATGTTGGGTGTGTCAGTCCTCAGAGGCAGGCCTCAGGTAATAGAATCTTGCTGACCTTCTTCTGCTCTCCTTTCACCTGCCCCAAGGCAGGACTCTAATTTTCCCCCACCTTTCTGGTTGCGGGTCCTAAGACCTTCCCCAGAGAGGGTCCTTCCCTATTCCCTGGGGGAAGGAATGTTGACATCATGAAGTTTCCGTAAAAGCCCAAGAGGACTGGTTTTGGGAGCTTCCAGATAACTGAACACATGGAGGCTCCTCGAAGGTGGAGCACCCAGGGAGGGCGTAGAAGCTTCCTGCTCCTTCCCCTATACCTCTTCCTACACATCTCTTATCTGTATCCTTTGTAATATCCTTTATAATAAGCCAAAAAACTTAACTGTTTCCCTGAGTTCTATGAGCCTCTCCAGCAAATTAATCAAACTCAAAGAGGGAGTTGTGGAAACCCTACTTAAAGCCCATTGGGTAGAAGTTCCGAAGGCCTGGACTTTGGTTTGGTTGGGGGCGGAGTTGGGGGAAGTCTTGGGGACAGAGCCCTCATCCTGTAGGATCTGATGCTATCTCCAGGTAGATGGTGTTGCAGTTGAATCAGAGGATGCCCCGCTGCTTGGTATGTGAGGAAAAACTTTCATACATTTGAACTCAAAAGTCTTCTTCTGGGCCAGGCATGGTGGCTCACACCTGTAATCCTAGCACTCTGGAAGGCTGAGATGGGAGGATCACTTGAGGTCAGGAGTTCGAGACCAGCCTGGCCAACATGGCGAAACCTCTTCTCTACTAAAAATACAAAAATTAGCCGGGCATGATGGTGGGTGCCTGTAATCCCAGCTACTCAGGAGGCTGAGGCAGAAGAATTGCTTGAACCTAGGAGGTGGAGGTTGCAGTGAGCCAAGATCATACCACTGCACTCCAGCAAAAAAAAAAAAAAACAAAAAAAACAAAAAAAAAAAAACTTTTTCTGTGTTGATTGTTATGTTCCTGTGAGAGGAGAGGAAAAAAACAGTTTGAGAAAGTTTTTTTCAGAACAACCCCCACCAGCTTCTCGTGACAGTTAATGCCCTTTATCAATGTTTTCTACAGGATATTGTTGAGATAAACAATTAGAACCCTGTCTTAGATGCTATTATATAACCTGTAAGTCTGAATGCCAGGACCAAAGTTCTTCTAGTGATTGATATAAGTGGGCTGGATTTAACAACAACAACAAAATTTATTAGGAAGAATTTTAGAGATGATGCAAGCAAAATACATAAGATGTGTCTCAAAAGAACAAGTTCAGAAAATGCAAGAACCATTACATGAACGATCACCACTACTCGTATTCTTTGAAAATAAACCAAAGTTGAAAAGAACAGGACTAAAAGAAGAGAGGCATCTCCTCTGCCCCATAAGCATTACTTGCTTATGAAGAGCTTTGGCCCCAGGTCCTGGTGCAGAGAGATGAAGTCCTAGAGGCCAGGAAGACAATATCCCAAGGAAGGAATGAGGGAAAAAGAAATCCACTGAACTAGTCTGAGTGGAGGAACCAAGAGACAAAAAGAAAAATAGAATTGTAAAGATGAGACTCTATGGGAGAAAGAGGTGGGGTAAGGACGGACCAGTGGGAACTGTGGGGGCCCTGGTTTACCTTATGTCTGTAGACCTACAAAGGAAGGGGAAAAAATATTGAGAAAGAAAGAAATGGGAAAGTTGCTCAGAGCTTTGAGAAATAGCTCCAGAGTTGAGACCTCCAAAGGAGGATTAATGGAGAGTCAAAACGCATCCATCTCCAAACACTAGCTACATTCAGCACCTGGACACAGCTGTGCCTGAAGCCTGAGTACAAGAAGATTCTCAGAGGGCTTGGGATTACTTCAAAAGGGTTCTGAAACCTTAAAGTTCTGTGGTCTAGAGTGAAGAACTACATCGTTATAGATCTTCATTCCTGGTTCTGAGAAAGTTTTGGTTTTCCTCTCCAGGCCATTAAGAGGTCAGTATCTGGCATCCACCATCACTGGTTGGCTCTGAAATCTGCTGAAACTCATTATCCTTCAACAAAAGCTCCATCCTGTGAGAGAGATGGACCATATAGATGGAAAAAGAGTACCAGCTGCAGGCATCTTGATATTGCCTGTATGACTGCATTCTTCTTTTTTTTTTTGAAATCGAGTTTCACTCTTTTTGCCCAGGCTGAAGTACAATGGCACAATCTGGCCTCACCGCGACTTCTGCCTCCCCGGTTCAAGCGATTCTCCTGCCTCAGCCTCCCGAGTAGCTGGGATTACAGGTGCGTGCCACCACACCCGGCTAATTTTTCATATATTTAGTAGAGACGGGGTTTCACCATGTTGGCCAGGCTGGTCTTGAACTCCTGACCTCAGGTGATCCACCCACCTCAGCCTCCTAAAGTGCTGGGATTACAGGCGTGAGCCACCGTGCCTGGCCTATATTCTTTGTATTATCTACTGGAATGAATGGTCTCTGAGTATCACCTGAGCAGTTTTTAAAAACTACCAACTTAGATGAATGAAAACAAAACATCCGGGTATGGCACATGGAAATAGTATGTTTCAGTGGTTCCCTAACTTTGCTGCACATTGGAAATCATCTGGGGATCTTTAGAAACCACTGATGCTGGCTGGGCACGGTGGCTCACGCCTGTAATCCCAGCACTTTGGGAGGCCAAGGCGGGTGGATCATCAGAGGTCAGGAGTTCCAGACCAGCCTGGCCATCATGGCGAAACCCCATCTGTACTGAAAATACAAAAAATAGTCAGGCGTGGTGGCATGCACCTGTGACCCTAGCTACTTGGGAGGCTGAGGCAGGAGAATAGCTTGAACCCAGAAGGTGGAGGTTGCAGTGAGCCGAGATTGCACCACCACACTCCAGCCTAGGTGACAAAGCGAGGCCTTGTCTCAAAAAAAACAACAACAACAAAAAAAAAACCCCAGAAAATACCGATGCCTGTCTCCCACTCCCGGACATTCTGATGTAATTGATGTGGGATGTAACCTGGGTATCAGTATTTTTTTAAAATCTCCCCTGTGATTCAATGTACATCCATAGTTGAAAACCAATGCTCCAAAGTAATGCTTGCCCATTCCTATCTCAGCACCTAACCTTTCAATACCTTTCATGTAGCATGCTCTCAATAAATATTGCTCAGTTTGATTTACAATCCTGTTTCCCCCACTGAAGCACTGCCACCCTTTCACCTAGAATGCTATGTGAATTTGTCTTCTGGTAAGTAGAGTACCTGCAATACCAGCTTGAGGACAAGGTTCATTCCTCTGCTGGCCATGTGCTACCAGCTCAAGTTTTAGCAAAGAGGGAGGAATGGGAAGCTAGGAGGACTTGAGAAGAGGAGGAAGCTCTCTGCACAGGCACATGGGGGAGCTTTTTTCTTCTCCCTTACAGAAAGTCATCGTGGCACGTGGACAAAGGAAGTATTAATAACCTTTCTAAAGACGCACTTCTCCAACATTTGGTGTTTCAAAACCGCAACCAGTGCTGTCAGTTCTACAGATGGCCAACTTCTGCATTTTGGATGACGGCTTCCAAAGATAGCTCAACTTGTATCCCTAAAGCAGAAGACACAACTATGGGGAAGAAGACCATCCTCATTTCTAAGCCAGAGGTTAAAAGCCACTACCCACATGTTGGTCAGAGACAAGAAGACTGACCACCAAGCAAAGTCATTAGAGGCAATCAACTTTTCTTGGAGTAAAATTAAAGTAACATTATTACGTCATTATCACAACCAGACCTTAATGATACAGACTGGGCAACCCACAGGAGTGTGCTCTGGACAGAGGCTTTGCCTTTGCCACCCACTTGCTGGGTGGCCTTGGGCTGATAGTTACCCTTTCTAGATGTTGACTTCCTCCCTTGTAAAATGTGAAGGCAGAAACTGAGAACGAGCCTTTCTTTGACTTCTTCCAATCTGCATCCAAAGAGAAGTGAAGAAGTATCAAGTTCAGAAGGACGATGATACTACATCACTAACAGTTGTGCTTCACCATCCTCCTTCAGGGTCTGGGGTCCCAGCCAGGTATTTGGCAAGCACGGCTCAAGTGTCTGCAGGCTCTGACCTCCATGGGGCGAATGTAGTTGCAAAGACCTCCCCAGAGCAGCTTTTGGGACTAGGATGAAAGACTGTGTTCGTTTCCTCCCAAAGTGCCGGTTGCTGTAACAAATGAACACAGACTGGGTAGCTGAAAACAACAGAAAATATTTTCTTTCACAGATCCGGAAGCCAGAAGTCTGAAATCAAGGTGTTGGCAGGGATGCAATCTCTCTGAAGGCTCTAAGGGAGAATCCTTCCTTGCCTCTTCGGTGGTTCCAGGCATTCCTTGGCTTGTGGCTGCATCATTACAATCTCTGCTTCTGTCTTCACATGGCCTTCTCTCTTCTCTCTGTGTCTCATAAAGACACTTTTCATTGGACTTAGGACCCATCCAGAGAATCCAGGATGATCTCAAGATCCTTAATTTAATTACATCTGCAAAGACTCTTTTGCCAAATAAGGTTACCTTCACAGGTTCCAGAAATTAGGACTTCAACATGTCTTTGAGGGTTAGGGGAGAGGGGGTGGGCACCCAATCAGCCTCCAGATGGAAAAGTGTAGAAGAATGTATAAAATCCTTCCCATCCTTAAAGCCCAGATGGAATGCTACCTTGTCCAGGAGGGCTTGCCAGTTCCTACCACATAGACATGATTTTTCCACCAAGCCATTTAGTTACGCCCATATTGTACATGTCTTTTCCTCTTGCCTCTAGACCACCTGCATCAGAATCACCTCAGGAGTTGGTTAAAAATATACATGTCTGTCCTTTCTGCCCTAGCCCCCACTGTCACTGCTTTCAATGAATCAGGCCTTCTAGGGATGGGGCTCAAGAGTGTGCATTTTAGGCCAGGCATGATGGCTCATGCCTGTAATCTCAGCACTTAGGGAGGCCAAGGTGGGCAGATCTTGAGGTCAGGAGTTTGAAACCAGCCAGGCCAACATGGTGAAACCCCATCTCTACTTAAAAAAAACCACAAAAATTAGGCTGGGCGCAGTGACTCGCACCTGTAATCCCAGCACTTTGGGAGGCCAAGGCAGGCGGATCAACTGAGGTCAGCAGTTCGAGACCAGCCTGACCAACAT
This sequence comes from Homo sapiens, assembly GCF_000001405.40. NCBI lineage: Eukaryota > Metazoa > Chordata > Mammalia > Primates > Hominidae > Homo > Homo sapiens. Next base: position 75,190,443 of record NC_000014.9, read on the forward strand.
GGAGAAACCCCATCTCTACTAAAAATACAAAATTAGCCAGGCATGGTGGCACTTGCCTGTAAGCCCAGCTACTCGGGAGGCTGAGTCAGGAGAATCGTTTGAACCCGGGAGGTGGAGGTTGGGGTGAGCCGACATCGTGCCATTGCACTCCAGGCCTGGGCAACAAGAGCGAAACTCCATCTAAAAAAAAAAAAAAAAAAATGCCAGGCGCGGTGGCTCATGCCTGTAATCCCAGCACTTTGGGAGGCTGAGGCGAGCAGATCACAAGATCAGGAGTTCAAGATTAGCTTGGCCAATATGGTGAAACCCTGTCTCTATTAAACGTACAAAAATTAGCCGGGCATGGTGGCGCATGCCTGTAGCTCCAGTTACTCTGTGGGCTGAGGCAGAAGAATTGCTTGAGCCCGGGAGGCCAAGGTTGCAGTGAGCCGAGATTGTGCCACTGAACTCCAGCCTGGGTGACAGAGCAAGACTCCATCTCAAAAAAAAAAAAAAAAAAAAAATTAGCCAGGTGCGGTGGTGTGTGCCCATAGTCTCAGCTCCTTGGGAAGCAGAGTCAGGAGAATCGCTTGAACCTAGGAGGTGGAGGTTGCAGTAAGCCAAGATGGTACTACTGCACTCCAGCCTGGGCGACAGAGCAAGAATCCGTCTAAAAATAAATAAAAAATAAAATAAAATAAATAAATAAAAAATAAAAAAAACCCAGAAAGGATCATCAAAACAATGGGAGAATGACTCTAAAGGTATTACAGGGAGTTTCAAGGCTGCTGCTCAGGCCCAGAGCTTTAGGAGGGCAGAAGGGTTTCAGGAGACTGGTCTGGGAGCCCTCTGGCTCATTGCCCAGAACTATCTTTGGTCTGCTCCATGAATTCTGGTGCGGCACTCCTTAGCCGCCCCAGCCATGGCTCATGCAGGCCCAGGTGATACTTGACCCACTAAAACATCTAAGAGGTAAACCTTGGCTAGGCACAGTGGCTCATGCCTGTAATCCCTGCACTTTGGGAGGCCAAGGCGGGTGGATCACCTGAGGTCAGGAGTTTGAGACTAGCCTGGCCAACATGGTTGGCCATCTCTTCTAAAAATACAAAAAATTAAGTTGGGCGTGGTGGCTCACGCCTGTAATCCCAGCATTTTGGGAGGCCAAGGTGGGTGGATCACAAGGTCAAGAGATTGAGACCATCCTGGCCAACATGGTGAAACCTCATCTCTACTAAAAATACAAAAATTAGCTGGGCGTGGTGGTAGCACACACCAGCAGTCCCAGCTGCTCAGGAGGCTGAGGCAGGACAATCACTTGAACCCGGGAAGCAGAGGTTGCAGTGAGCCGAGATTGCACCACTGCACTCCAGCCTGGCGACAAAGCAAGACTCCGTCAAAAAAAAAAAAAAAAAAAAAAAAAATTAGCCAGGAGTGGTGGCACGTACCTATAGTTCCAGCTACTCGGGAGGCTGAGGCAAGAGAATTGCTTGAACCCGGGAGGCAGAGGTTGCATATATTGCAGTGAGCCGAGATTGAGCCATTGCACTCCAGCCTGGGCTACAAGAGTGAAAATCTGTCTAAAAAAAACAAAAAAGAAAGAAAGAAAAACAAAAAAACAGACCGGGTGCAAGGGCTCATGCCTGTAATCCCTGCACTTTGGGAGGCCAAGGCGGGTGGATCACCTGAGGTTAGGAGTTCAAGACTAGCCTGGCCAACATGGTGAAACCCCATCTCTACTAAAAATACAAAAAATTAGGTTGGGCGTGGTGGCTCACGCCTGTAATCCCAGCACTTTGGGAGGCCAAGGCAGGTGGATCACAAGGTCAAGAGATTGAGACCATCCTGGCCAACATGGTGAAACCCCATCTCTACTAAAACTACAAAAATTAGCTGGGCATGGTGGTGGCACACACCTGCAGTCCCAGCTACTCAGGAGGCTGAGGCAGGAGAATCACTTGAACCCGGGAGGCAGAGGTTGCAGTGAGCCGAGATTGCACCATTGCACTCCAGCCTGGCGACAAAGCAAGACTCCGTCAAAAAAAAAAAAAAAAAAAAAAAAAATTAGCCAGTAGTGGTGGCACGTGCCTATAGTTCCAGCTACTCGGGAGGCTGAGGCAAGAGAATTGCTTGAACCCGGGAAGCAGAGGTTGCGTATATTGCAGTGAGCTGAGATTATGCCATTGCACTCCAGCCTGGGCAACAAAAGTGAAAATCTGTCTTAAAAAAAAAAAGAAAAGAAAAGAAAAACAAAGAAAAAAACCAGGCTGGATGCAGTGGCTCATGCCTGTAATCCCTGCGCTTTGGGAGGCCGAAGTAGGTGGACCACAAGGTCAGGAGTTTGAGACCCACCTGACCAACATGGTGAAACCCTGTCTCTACTAAAAATACAAAAATTAGCCTGGCGTGGTGGTGGGCACCTGTAGTCTCAGCTACTCGGGAGGCTGAGGCAGGAGAATCGCCTGAACCCAGGAAGCGGAGGTTGCAGTGAGCTGAGATCGTGCCACTGCACTCAGCCTGGCAACAGAGTGAGACTCTGTCTCAAAACAAACAAACAAACAAACAAACAAACAAACAGTGGTAAACCTTGGTGGTGTGTCCACATGGTGCTACTTCTGCAGCCATGTAGAATGCAAGAGCTGTAGGGACATGGCTTCCTCTACAAAATTTCAAAGGATATCTTAGCCCAGGGGCCCAAGCAGAGAAGAATTGCAGGAGCACTGTAGAGAGCCCACAGAGGCCCCATACTAGGGCAGTGTTGAGCAGAAATGTGGGGTCAGAGCTGCCCCAGAGTCCCCACTAGGGCAATACCTAGTGGAGCCATGGGAATGAGGCCACTCTTGAGACCCCAGAATTGTGGAGGTACCAGCTTGCAGCATCAGCCTGAAAGAGCTACAAGCATGTGACTCCAACCCATGATAACTGCTGGTTAAACTGAGGCCAGTGAAGCCATAGGGCCCAATCCCCACCCCAGTGTGCCTAGAAGGGTGGGACATGGAGTCAAAGAAGATTATTCTGGAGCTTTAAGACTTAATGTTATGGCCAGGTGCAGTGGCTCATGCCTGTAATCCCAGCACTTTGGGAGGCTGAGGTGGAGGATCACTTGAGCCCAGGAGTTGGAGACCAGCCTGGGCAACACAGAGAGACTCTATATCTGCAAAAAAAAAAAAAAAAAAAAAAAAAAAAAAAAAAATTAGCTAGGTGTGATGTTGCATTCCTGTGGTCTCAACTACTCAGGGGGCTGTGGTGGGGGATTGCCGAGGCTGGGATGTCAAGGCTGCAGTGAGCCATGATTTTGCCACTGCACTCCAGCCTGGGTGACAGAGTAAGACTCTGTCTCAAAAAGAGAGGGAAAGAAAAAAGACTTAATGTTGTTTTCCCTTTTTCCTTGTTGGGTCTTGGATTTACTTGGGACCAATTACACATTTCTTCTTAAATTTCTCCCTTTTGGAATGGGAACGTCTATCCTATGCCTACCCACTATTGTATTTTAGAAGTACATAAACTTGTTAATTTCACAGGCTCTCAACTGGAGAGGAATGTGCTTTGGGATGAATTATACCTTGAATCTCGCCCCTATCTAATTCAGATGAAACTTTGGACTTTTGAGTTGGTGCTAGAATGAGTTAAGACTTTTGGGACAATTGGGATGGAGTGAATGCATCTTGTATGTAAGAAGGACATGAGGTTTGTGTGGCCAGGGGTAGAATTCTATGGTTTGAATGTCCCCTCCAAAACTCATGTTGAAATGTAATTGCCACTACGATGACGGTGTTAAGAGATGGAATTGTTAAGAGGTGATTGGGCCATGAGAGCTCTGCCCTAATGAGTAGATTAATGTCATTATCATAGGAGTAAGACTGGTATTGTGAGAGTGGGTTGTTATAAAAATGAGTTTGGCCCTCTGTGTCTCTTGCTCTCACCCTCTCTTGCCATTCTGCCTTCCACCATGAGATGACGCAGCATGAAGACCCTTGCTAGAGGCTGGGGCCATGCTCTTGGACTTCCCAGCCTCCATAATTGTAAGTCAAATACATTTCTATTCATTATGAATTATCCAGTCTGTGGCGTTTTGTTATGGCAACACAAAATGGACAAAGACACAACCAAATCCAAGCTCTACTATCCATTAACTGCGTGACTTCAGGATAGTTACCTGGACTCTCTGCATCTCTGCTTCCTCATGTAAATGAAGATAATTATAGTGCCTACTTCATAAGTTTGTGGGGAGGATTAAATGAAATAAAGCATGTAAAGTGCTTAGAACAATGTCTTTTTTTTTTTTTTGAGACAGGGTATCGCTCTGTCATGCAGGCTGGAGTGCAGTGGTGTGATCATAGTTCACTGTAGACTTGACTTCCCAGGCTCAAGAGATCCTCAGCCTCCCAAGCAGCTGGGACTACAGGTGCACATCACCATACCTGGCTAATTTTTAGAGATTTTTGTAGAGACGAGGTCTCACTGTGTTGGCCAGGCAGGTCTCAAACTCCTGGGCTCAAGTGATTCTCCTGCTTCAGCCTCCCAAGTGCTGGCATTACAGTGCTGGAATAATTTCCACTCTTCCCAACTTCTTAGAACAGTATCTATCACATGGTATACACTTAGTAAATGTAAGCTGTCATGAAACAGAACAGGCTGGCAATGGCTTATTTTTAAAAAAACTATTGTTATTATTATCATTATTTTTGAGACAGAGTCTCACTCTGTCACCCACGCTGGAGTGCAGTGGTGTGATCTTGGCTCACTGCAAACTCTGCCTCCTGGGTTCAAGCCATTCTCCTGCCCCAGCCTCCCAAGTAGCTGGGACTACAGGTGTGTGCCTCCATACCTGGCTAATTTTTCTATTTTTCGTAGAGATGAGGTTTCACTGTATTGGCCAGGCTGGTCTCAAACTCTTGACCTCATGATCCACCCACCTCAGCCTCCCAAAGTGCTGGGATTATAGGCATTTATTATTATTATAGGTGGCTATTATTATTAATATTATTATTAACTATATTTCTGGATCCCTCTCTTCCAGGAACATATGCTGATCTTTCCACCATCATTAATTATTATTAATGTTGTTTGGACCTTTTTTTCTTCCAGGCCCTGCGCCAAACTCAGGTCAAGCTTTATCTCATTTCATCCTTATAACAAGGGTATAAGTCATGTAATATTATTATCTCCCATTTCATTTATAGGGAAATTGAGGGTCAGACAGGTTAAGTAACTTGCTCGAAGTCCTATAGCCAGTGAAGGGCAAGGCAGGGACGTGAAATATCAGCTTGGGCCCCAACTTTATGGCTATTCTGCATTTCTACTTGACCCCGAAGACATTCCCCCTGTGGTCATCAGGCCCACCATCCCCTTGAACCAACTCCCTAAACCTCCCATCACATAGCTTCCTTACATCAAGTTCCATCTTTTCTGGGCGGGGCGTGGTGGCTCGCGCCTATAATCCCAGCACTTTGGGAGGCCGAGGCAGGCAGATCACTTGAGGCAGGCAGGTCAGGAGTTCAAGACCAGCCTGGGCAACATGGTGAAACTCCTTCTCTACTATAAATACAAAAATTAGCTGAGTGTGGTGGTGTGCACCTGTGGTGCCAGCTACTGCGGAGGCTGAGGTGGGAGAATCGCTTGAACCCAGGAGGTGGAGGTTGCAGTGAGCTGGGATCACACCACTGCACTCCAGCCTGGGTGACAGAGCGAGATGCCATCTCAAAAAAAAAAAAAAGTTTTATCTGATCCCTTCAAACTATGCCTTTCTGTTGCATTCTTGGTCTGGGCCTTCCGAGAAAATGTCCTTTTCTCAGAGGTGATGAATCAGGCCACATTCCTCCTCCACCTTCCTGAGAAGCTCTCTCAAATGCTACCTCTGTTCCCAGGGTCTCCCAAACCCAAATGCCGCCTGGCCCAGCATCCCCATTCAGAGTCCTCTCCTCACACACAGCCACTCTGGCTGGCTTCCCCCACAGCCCCCAGGTGACCCTGTGTCCATTGAGAGGCTGCCTCCCTCTCACTCCCCTGTGTCTCTGTTGCTCCTTCTAGTGGAAGAACCTGAAGGTCTTGATGCCGGGGAGCTGGCAATCAGTCAACCCTCAGGATGTCCCTCCTATCCTCCACTATATCCAGGGTCTCTTGGGCACCACAGTTCTTCCCTTAGCCCTGTTAGGGCAGGCGTCTCGCACTGCCCCCCTCTGCTGCCCACCTCCCACTCTCACCACTGGCCCAGGGCATGGGGTGTACCATCAGGCACATAGGCCTTATCACTGTGCAAACACTTCCTCTTTCCCCAGTGCTGGTTCTCACACAATTGGTAATCAGTGTAAACTTCCTCTGACAATTTACTGAGCAAACATTTACCATACAACTGCCCTATGTAGGGCTCTGTGCTAAGGCCCATGGGGAACCCAAGCCTGGTCTCCACCTTGGGGCATCTCGAGTCTGGTAGAGATGAGGCACATGAGGCGTCTCAGATGCCGCGGGTCTTGCGGACCAGAGCACCGCGGACTGGAATCCCATTTCTGCTCTCTACTCCCTGTCTTACCTTGGAGCAAGTGACATCCTTTCTGATCTTGAATTTCCTTAGCTGTGAAATGGGAGTAATGCTGTCTAGGTTTGTTGTGAGGACTAACTAAGATCCCTAGAGGGCCTGGCAGAGCACCTGAGATAAGGACATTCCACAGTCCCTGTGGTGCCACCTTTCAGATATGAATTGAGGGGTCCCTATATACTACAGGGTCAGCCAATCATCTAGTCAACAAGAACACATTCAAAACGGAAGTGTTGGGTAAGTGGGGAACACACATGAACATAACACACATACACATAAGGGTATAAACATAACCCTTTAGTTTAGCGGGAGTGGGTGGTGGTAGGAGTTAGTGTTTTTTTAATTAAAAAAAAATTTTATAGGAATGAGGTCTCACTGTGTTGCCCAGGCTGGTCTCAAATTCCTGGACTCAAGCAATCCTCCCACCTTGGCCTCCCAAAGTGCTAGGAGGGGGTTAGTTTTAATATACCCATATGCAACAGCAAGAGATTATTATGGGATAAGTCTGTTTCCTAGGTAAATGCTTATCCTGTGGGCACAGCCTGTGAAGGAGATATCTCTGTAGGCCTGCGGGAGTTGGGAAATTTCTCAGTGTTGAGGAGTCAGCACACAAAATCAGAGGAACGCAGGCAAAGCAGTCATCAGCATATCAAGGCACAGGGGAGTGATGGCTTCCCTTCTTCACTCCTACATCAAAACAGGCAACCTAAATGGACCTTTTTTTTTTTTTTTTTTTTTTTTTAATGTGGTGACGGAGTCTTGCCCTGTCGCCCAGGCTGGAGTGCAGTGGCGTGATCTTGGCTCACTGCAACCTCTGCCTCCCAGGCTCAAGCAATTCTCCTGCCTCAGCCTCCCAAGTAGTCAGGACTACAGGCACACACCACCACGTCTGGCTAATTTTTGTATTTTTAGTAGAGACGGGGTTTCACCATGTTGGCCAGACTGGTCTCGAATTCCTGACCTCAGGTGATCCGCCCGCCTCGGCCTCCCAAAATGCTGGAATTATAGGCGTCAGCCACTGCGCCCTGCTAATGGACAACCTTTAAACCTACATGTTTGGCTATTTCTTAGTATTTTAGGGTTGCTTCGTGCTCTGGCCTGGGTTTGCAGGAAAAATGGGAGAGAAGAGGAGAAAAGGGCTGGAAGAGGCTTGGCCATGGTAGAAGGCATGGGTGGGTGTGAGGAGAAGGAAACAGAGTGATGGGCCAGCAAGGAGTCACAGGGTTTCGGGATCTGGGCTAGCGACCCTCCTGGCCTCCAATGGGCTAACACGGAAAAGAGGGATGCTGATACTCCTGGTGTTGGAGGAAGATTCTGGGGAAAGACACCAAGAGGAAGCACAGGGCAGCTACAGATGCATCCATGGACCGAGCATGAGCTTTGGTGTGAAGCCAACCTCGGTTTCCATGGGGCCTCAGCACTGACTAACTGTGTGACCTTGGTCAAGTTACTTTACCTCTTTGAACCTCAGTTCCCTAATCTCCAAGTGAGAATAACAACATCTGTTTCATAGCTCTTTTGCGAGGACTGTAAATTGTATAGCACAGAGCCTGCCAGAATGTAGGCGACCAAGTTCCCTTCCCCCTTCTCAAGCTTCCAGGAGTGCCCCAGAAATACAAGACTGGCTATATTTAGTGTCTGGCTCCCTCCCCCGACAACCCATGGTTAAATTAGAATGAAACTATTTATGCTAAAGTCTCTGAAGTTCTAAAATTCTCTGGCAATGTGAGTAGACTGGGTGGGAGAAGACAGCAGTTCACCTCCTGGGGACATGGCGGCTGCTGCTGTGAGGCTGTACTCTCTGAGCAGCACACGCCAGTCTTCCTGGGTACCAGCCTGGCAGACGGCCAGGCAGCGGGGCAGACGGCATGCCCAGAAGCCTGGCAGCTCCTCCCTTCCCCATTCATGTTCCCTGAGTCCGGGTTCCCTCAGTCCCCTTGGCCAAGGTTTGCCTTGGGTGATGGTAGGGGTGGAAGGAAAGGCTGGCCCCACAGGAGTGTGTGTGCAGGGAAGGTACCCCAGAGGCCGATTTCAGCCCATTCTAGGAAAGGATGTTGTAGTAACAAATGTTTCATGCTGGAAAGGTGTCTGAGGCAGCAGCCAGAGCTTGGGCCCTGAAGAATTTACCCAGATACTATGGTTTTCCACCTGGACGCCCATAAAATATCCCAAGAGTTTTGTAAAGATACTGTTAGCCTGGTCCCCATCTACAAGATTCTGATTCCATTGGTTCACAGTGGCTGGAATTTTGTTAACAGTGCCCTAGGTGCCTGCATTGTGCAGAGGTGGATGAGGACCAGTGTTCCCAAGGCATTCCCATGTCTCTGGACCAGAGCTCCTTCTATCTCCAAGTGTCTGCATGTCTGGTATGAAGTATGTGTTGTAATCACTTGAACTTGCTTCCATCCTGGCCCCTTGCCATTTACCCTTTGAAACACAGCAACCAGAATGAGGCCTTTAAACATAAACCGGCTGGGCATGGTGGCTCATGCCTGTAATCCCAGCACTTTGGGAGGCTGAGTCGGGCAGATCACTTGAGCCCAGGAGTTTGAGACCAGCCTGGCCAACATGATGAAACCCCATCTCTACTAAAAATACAAAAATTACACATGTGGTCCCAGCTACTCAGGAGGCTGAGATGGGAGAATCGCTTGAACCTGGGACGCAGAGGTTGCAGTAAGCCAAGATCGTGCCACTGCATTCCAGCCTGGGTGACAGAGCGAGACTCCAACTCAAACAAAACAAAACAAAACAAAACATAAATCAGATCCCATCCCTTTCCCACTTCAGTATCTCCAGTATGTCCCATTTCAATCCCAACTCCTCACCAGGGGCAGTAGGACGCTCTGGGATCTGGCTCTTCCCCTACCTTCCTCTCAGCCCTGACACCACTAGAATCTTCCTTTTTTGTTGTTGTTGTTGATTCGGGGTTTTGTTCTTGTCGTTCAGCCTGCAGTGCAGTGGCACGATCTCGGCTCACTGCAACCTCCACCTCCCAGGTTCAAGCAATCCTCCTGCTTCAGCCTCCCGAGTAGCTGGGATTACAGGCGCCTGCCACCACACCTGGCTAATGTTTTTTTGTTTGTTTGTTTGTTTTGTTTTGTTTTTGAGACACAGTCTCGCTCTGTTGCCCAGGCTGGAGTGCAGTGGTGCGATCTCCGCTCACTGTAAGCTCTGCCTTCCCGGTTCACGCCATTCTCCTGCCTCAACCTCCCAAGTAGCTGGGACTACAGGCACGCATCACCACATCTGGCTAATTTTTGTATTTTTAGTAGAGATGGGGTTTCACCACATTGGCCAGGCTGGTCTCGAACTCCTGACCTCGTGATCCACCCACCTCTGCCTCCCAAAGTGCTGGGATTACAGGTGTGAGCCACTGCACCCGGCAGATTTTTATATTTTTTAGTGAGATGGGGTTTCACCATGTTGGCCAGGCTGGTCTTGAACTCCTGACCTCAGGTGATCCACCTGCCTTGGCTTCCCAAAGTGCTGGGATTATAGATGTGAGTCACCGCACCCGGCCACCACTAGCACCTTCCTGTTCCTCACACTCACCAAGCTGGTCCTGCCCTAGAGCCTTTGCACTTGCTGTGCCCTGTGGTTGGTGCTCTTCCCCAGCCTAGTTCATGGCTGGCTCCTCCTCATCCTACAGGTCTCAGAGGTCCCCTCTTCAGAGAGCTTTCCCTCACCTGCCTAGTCCACGTGGCACTCCTTTCCCTTCCTGTCCCTCCCTATCATTATCACCTACAATACTCCCCACTAGGAAGCAAGTTCCATGAGAACAGGGAACTTGTCTAACTGGTTTGTCACAGTGCCTGGCACGGATGAATTCTTAATAACTAGTTGTTGAACAAATAAGTGGAAATGGACATAGCATGCTTATGTATTAAATTATGTGTTTTCATGTACACAGACATATAGGTATACCTGCAGATAATGTGATCAGAGGTCTGGGGTAGAAATGGACAGATGGTGCCAGAGAAGAGGGCACCAAAGGAGAAGGGAAAGGAATAATGATTGAGCCTCGACTCAGTGCCAGGCACTATTCTAGAGTTTTTTATACATTTAATCTTCACAACAACACATTGGGCACTGTAAACAAAATTCCAAGGATTCAAGCCACCATGGACCAAAGGAATCAGAATCTTGAGGATGGGGCCAGCATTATTGTCCTCATTCTATAGATTAAAAAAACTGAGACTTAGAGAGAGGAAATAACTTGCCCGAAGTTAATCTACCAACAAGTGCCAGAGCAGGATATAAACCCGAGTTTATTGGACTCCAACACAGTCTTGCTCATTGCATCATTCTTGAAGGAGAAATTACCTCACTCATTACCTCTCTCCATTATCAGGGAATAAAAAAACTCTGGTGAATGCGGCCCCAGATAGCAATGGCTAATTGGTGACTGGAGCTAATAACATTGGCCGAGCGAGCAGGGCAGATAAGGAAGGGAAAGAAAATCCACTAATAGCCTTGCCATCTATCTGGAAACAACCTTGTTTCTTAATTTTATTTGTGTTGTTACGAATTTGCACTCCTTTCCTTTTGCAGAATGTATACATATATTCCACTTGATTTAAATTCCCAGGATACAACAACCCAGAGGGATTTGGCCTCATTAAGAGTCAGTGGGCTAGTTTGTTTGGGCCCTCTATCTTAAACTTCCAAATCTAATTTCCAACCAAAGGAATAGGATATGCTCTTTTTAAAGTTATTTATTTATTTTTTTTTTGAGACGAAGTCTTGCTCTGTTGTCCAGGCTGGAATGCAGTGGCGTGATCTTGGCTCACTGCAACCTCTGCCTCCCAGGTTTAAGTGATTGTCTCACCTCAGCCTCCCAAGTAACTGGAATTACAGGCATGCACCACCACATCTGGCTAGTTTATATATTTTTAGTAGAGATGGGGTTTCACCATGTTGGCCAGGCTGGCCTCAAACTCCTGACCTCAGGAGTTCCATCCACCTCGGCCTCCCAAAGTGCTGGGATTACAGGTGTGATCCACCGTGCCTGGCCTAGAATATACTCTTTAGAATACTCTTTTTAAAATACCTCCAGAACTTAGTTTATATCCAGGTTGTCTGTAATCCTAGTCTCTGGAAAGTACTTCTGTTTTTTATGTTTATTTTTGCTTTTTTTTTTTTGGTATGTGTTAGCAGTACTGCCCTCACTATGCGCTCGTTGGACAGTAGCACAAACCCAAGAAAAGAATGATGATTTGGCAGTCATTTCTAAATAGCAGAACACCTTTTCTTATTTTAGAATATGTAGGGCCAGGCATGGGGCCTCACACCTATAATCCCAGCACTTTGGGAGGCTGAAGTGGGAGGATTGCTTGAGCCCAGGAGTTCAAGACCAGCCTGGGCAAGATGGCAAGACTACGCATCTCTACAATAAATAAATAAATACATAAATAAAATATCAGAGCTAGTTCTCAATTAAATCTGATCAAAACATAGCATGCCATCTAGCACAGGACCTCAAGGCCTTATAGACATGAGTTATATATCCTCCTTGCTTATAAAATGCAGACTGTCTAATTGCTGGCTCACAGAAGATCACATAGGGGCTTAAAGCTTAGTTAGGGCAGAGCCGTCATGTGAGACATAAACAGAATGGGGAGAATCTGTAATATAGGGTGAGAACTTTGTAAGCTTCATGCTATGGACAATGGAGAAGTATATCAGGGCTCTGCAGTTTCAGGAGATAAGAACGAATTCTGAGTTAACAGGAAAAAAAAAGCCATCTGAAGGAAGGATATTGGGGAGTTTATAGAATTGAAGGAAAATCTGACCAGGCAAGAGGGGATCTCCTGGGGATTAACTCATGATTCAACTTCAAACTTCCCATCCCTGAATCTCTGTTCAAAATTCAAATGCCCAGGTGAGTCTGAATGGCTTAGCTTAGGTCATGTGCCCCCTTCATGGGACCTGGGATTGGCTGACCTCCAGAATTCTGCACAACAGAGAAAAGGAGACAAATTCCAAAGGAACAGATGCTGGCCAGACAGACGAGACATGTCTGCTCTAGTAGCCACTGGACATTGCTTTCTCTTTTTCCTTTGTTTTTCTTTTTTTTCTTTTTTAAATGGAGTTTTTTTTTTTTTTTTTGAGACGGAGTCTCGCTCTGTCACCCAGGCTGGAGTGCAGTGGCGTGATCTCGGCTCACTGCAAGCTCCACCTCCCAGGTTCACACCATTCTCCTGCCTCAGCCTCCCAAGTAGCTGGGACTACAGGTGCCCGCCACCACGCCCGGCTAATTTTTTCATATTTTTAGTAGAGACGGGGTTTCACCATGTTAGCCAGGATGATCTCGATCTCCTGATCTCGTGATCCGCCCGCCTTGGCCTCCCAAAGTGCTGGGATTACAGGTGTGAGCCACCGCGCCCGGCCAAAAAAAAAAAAGAAAAAAAAAGAGAGGGCCAGCCGTGGTGGCTCATGCCTGTAATCCCAGCATTTTGGGAGGCTGAGGGGGGCAGATCACTTGAGGTCAAGAGTTCGAAACCAGCTGGGCCAACATGGTGAAACCCCGTCTCTACTAAAAATACAAAAATTAGCTGGGCCTGGTAGCACGTGCCTGCAGTCCTAGCTACTTGGGAAGCTGAGACAGGAGAATCACTTGAACCTGGGAGGTGGAAGTCACAGTGAGCTGAGACCACGTCATTGCACTCCAGTCTGGGTGACAAGAGCAAAACTCCGTCTAAAAAAAAAAAAGAAAGAAAGAGAGAGAGAGAGACAGAGACAGAGAGAGGCAGGAGATGTGTTAGAAAGCTATTAGATGTCAACCATTGTGGAAGGAATGAACCAGGCTGGGCTGGCGGAGAATGGAACGAAGTAACCAGATATGAGGCACAAGGGCTCAAAAAGTAGTTTGTAAACTCGATTGAGCCATCTGGGGCAGTTGGGACCCCAGGAGTTCATCTCCAGCCTACACCAGAATCCTCTCTGGGAAGTGACTGGGAATCTACAATTTTAAAACACACAGCCATCCTCCATAGAAGACACTGGTCTGTGTAGATGGGCATTTGGAAACCATTGATCTATTAGACCGTTTTTTCTAAATGTCCTCTAGTCCAGTGTCTCATCTTATCTCTTTGCTCTTGCAGTTAAGCATTATCAAAGCTTAGCTTTTGAGTACTTGCAATTTGTACTCATTACATTTAGAGTCATATATCTGCAAGATCTCTTCTGAGGTCTTTGGAATGAAAACAAGGACAGAGAGGTATGTTGGCTCCTAACCGTCGCCTTATTTTGTTAGTGTGTCTGGGGCTTGTGGCTTTTGACAGGGACTCGAGAGATGACTTTGTCAGCTTTTCCTTTCACTATAGTAAGTCTCCATAACAAACACACCCAAGTCTGGTATTTCTGAACTTATGGCTCTGTACTGAATACATGCTGTTCCTGGAGCCAGGCTCATTTTGCAGTTTCTCCTCCCAACTCCACCCTTTGGTCCTGCTGATGGGCTCATTCAGCCTTGGCATGTGATAAACCTCAGGTTCTGGGAGTTTTCTCTAGGACACTGAAGAACAGTATTGACTTTTCAGTAATTGCTGGAGTTTAAAAGGAATGGTGATCTTTGGGAGTGGGAGTGTGGTACAGGTGGGCGAATAGGACTTACGGTGCCAACTGGCTTCTCCCCATTCCTATAGTGAGGGGACTCATAAGAATGAATAACTAGGAAAGGGTTTGCCAAACTTCAGTTGTTTGAATACCATCCTCATGATTTTTGCCAAATCTTCATGTTATCCATCTGCTATTTATTTTATACTTTTCATTAATTAACATATTTTCGCTGGCATAGTCACTACCTATGCTAGCCTTGCTGTAAACAATCATATTCTTGAAGTTGCTGATTCATGAAATCGGGTCTGGTATGCTACCTATAAATTTTTTTCTAGTACACATTAAAATAAATATACACTTATTGAAATTGTGTAAATGTTCACTCATGTGCTAAAATCCTCCTGTGTGCCACTAGAGGTATACGTATCACAGTTGGGGAGCATTAGCTTAGGAATGTCCATGAGCTAAGAGGCCAGTGATTCCAGACCCCCTAATTCATTGTAGTTTTGGTGCCAAATGTAAGATTTTTTTGAGTCTATTTATTGAAAAGTTACCCTTTTGTATATATCCTCTTATTGCAGAAGTCAAGGTTCAAAGCAAGAAACAGAAGCTACCCAAGGTATTTTAAGCAAGAAGGAAATTAATAATTTTTTTTTTTTGAGGTGGAGTCTTGCTCTGTCATCCAGGCTGGAGTACCAGTGGCATGATCTCGGCTTACTGCAACCTCCTCTTCCCAGGTTCAAGCGATTCTCCTGCCTCAACCTTTGGAGTAGCTGGGATTACAGGTGCCTGCCACCATGCCCAGCTAATTTTTGTATTTTCAGTACAGACGGGGTTTCACTATGTTGGTGAGGCTGGTCTTGAACTCCTGACCTCAGGTGATCCATCTGCTTTGGCCTCCCAAAGTGTTGGGATTACAGGCATGAGCCACCAAACCCGGCAGAAAATTAATAATTTTATTTTATCAGAAGGTTGGGAACTGAGCTCCCTCTTGGACTGAGTACCCAAGCACCCCAGAACTGACCTCCCAGGGGACCTGTAACTCCTTCATAATCAGGAGGCTGCTAATGGGATGGCTCAGTTTAAGGTTTCACCACCACCACAGCTGTAATCCAGGGATTAGGTATCACCTCCACCTCCTCTGCCACAAGTTCCAGTAGATAGTCATGGATCTGGAAATTACACACTGGACTGCTGCTGTGGATCCCCACATCTCCTTGACATTGCTTGCAGCAGAACGTGGCCAAAGCAGGAAGAAAGGGGCCCATGACTCAACTTCCTTTTGCCTTTCAAATCTCTCATGAGTGCATCAGATTTAATGAGGCCTACTCGCATCATCCAGAACTCTAACTTGAGGGAGTCTGAGTTTGTAGCTGGAGAGCATTTTTAACATAAGAAAGTCCAGTATGCTGGGCGTGGTGGCTCACCCCTGTAATCCCAGCTGCTTGGGAGGCTGAGGCAGGAGAATTGCTTGAACCCAGGAGGCAGAGGTTGCAATGAGCTGAGGTCATGCTACTGTACTCCAGCCTGGGTGACAGAGTGAGACCACCATGTCTCAAAAAAAAAAAAAAAAAAAAGAAAGAAAAAGAAAAAAGAAAGAAAAGAAAAGAAAGGTGAGAATGGATGCTGAGAGCCAATTAGTCATATTCATCAAATTGCCTATTAGTGGCAGCTCTGCTGCTGATTCTCAGTGAACTAAGAAATCACTAAGCCAAAGGCAGGAAAAAAAGACCACAGAAACCCACCATTAATGCAGGTTCTTATGTTACCAAATAGTCGCTCTTATGTGAATTGGGGGAGTATGCATGTGTGTATGTGTGTAAAACCAGGTTTTGTGTAATCTGAAGGTACACACTTACAAACATACAGGTTAAGTCAATAAAAGTGACCTTGCTAGCACAAACTGACATGCCACACCAAAACCTCAATGGCTCCTCATTGCCTGGGGGAAGTAATAGCCTTGTATACTATACCTTTTACAAGTTCGCCGTTAGTTAACCTCTCATCCCTTAACACCTGGCATATTCTATGACAGCCCTCCATTCTGGTTAAAGAGCTCTAGTGATTGGTTAAGAAACAGCCAAACAGTCCCCCCTTCCTGCCTTCCTGGTTAATAGGGTTCTGCCTGGAAAGCCTTGTCCTCTTCCTGTTGACTAACTTGAGTCTCAGTCTTCCTTCAAGGCCAGTTCTGTGCATTTTCCTCACTTCCTAAAGCAGGCCTTGTTCTCCCACTCTCTTCTGTCTGTATTGGTAAAAAAAACTCCTAGCTGGGCACAGTGGCTCATGTCTGTAATCCCAGCACTTTGGCAGGCCAAGGTGGGAGAATCACTTGAGCCCAGGAGTTAGAGACCAGCCTGGGCAACATAGTGAGAACTTGTCTCTACAAAAAATAAAAAAATTAGCCGGGCACAGAGGCATGTTCCTGTAATTCCAGCTACTTGGGAGGCTGAGGCAGGAGAATCTCTTGAACCCGGGAGGCAGAGATTGTAGTGAGCTGAGATCGGGCCACTGCACTCCAGCCTGGGCAGCAGAGAGAGACTGTGTCTCAAAAATAATAACAATAATAATAAAGCCCAGTAAAGGCTGAGTGCAGTGGCTCACACCTGTAATCCCAGCACTTTGGGAGGCCAAGGTGGGAGGATTGCTTGTGGAGTTTGAGACCAGCCTGGGGAACATAGCAAGACCCCATCTACTTGGGAGGCTGAGGTGGGAGGATCACTTGAGCCCAGGGGGTTGAAGCTGCAGGGAGCAGAATGGCGCCATTGCACTCCAGCCCGGGTGACAGAGCAAGACCCTGTTTCAAAAACAAGAACAAAACCAAAAAAATCCTCTTTTTCTCAGTTGGGATCTGGTTTCCACCCTCCTAGTCACCCTTTCAGGGCTTTGCTTCCCTGTAACCTGCTTGGGGAGGTGCTCCTCCCACCCCCATGTTCCTGTGTTACTGGGTACTTCCATTCATTCATTCCTTCCATAACAGGTGAAGGTGGAAGAAGGAAACCACCTTCACCTTCATTCCCATTGCAAGATGAAGGTGTGGGAGGAAGGTGGTCTTGATTTAAGGAATTAATCTGGTAGATCCTTACAGGCAGTGACAGGCAAAGCCTTAGCCAAATCATCGGAAGTGGAAACATTCTGCTGCGGAGGTGGGGAAAAGGGAATCCCTGTGCATAAGAAGAAAGGAGACACAGGGCTGGCTTTTGAGAAACAGGGACGAGGTAAAGCACTGAGAGAAGCGACATTGGAGGAGAGAGAAGGAAGAGAGCCAAGAAGGATGAAGGCCCTCTGAGGAGTGAGATGCTTGGTGCTATTGGAAAGAGGATGGAGGGCATGACTCAAACCCTCATTAAAGTCCCCTGCTGCACCCACCAATGCCACAGACAGTGGGTTTTTGTGCCATGACTAGAAAGGAAGCCGGGCACGGTGGCTCACGCCTGTAATCCCAGCACTTTGGGAGGCCGAGGCAGGTGGATCACCAGGTCAGGAGTTCAAGACCAGCCTGGCCAAGATGGTGAAACCCCATCTCTACTAAAAATACAAAAAATTAGCCAGGCGTGGTGGTACGTGCCTGTACTCCCAGCTACATGGGAAGCTGAGACAGAGAATTGCTTGAACCCGGGAGGCGGTGGTTGCAGTGAGCCAAGATTGCACCACTGTACTCCAGCCTGGGTGACAGAGCGAGACTGTCCCAAAAAACAAACAAACAAACAAACAAAACGAGAACAGGACTGAGCTCCAGATCTGGGCTGTTGTGGGACATAACAGGGACCCTTCATGGGGACAGCAAGAAGATTTGCAGCCTGACCTAATTCAGAGGAAGGAGGATCCTCGCCTCCAAAATCACTATGACTATCGGAATATCCTAGGAGATCACAGAAGTAACGGAGTGGGTGTGAGACCTTTTGCAAATGTGTGTACTCATACAGTGCAAAGGCACACCTCCCAGGGGGCCATCAGAATGCAGACCCCACTTCTATGCTCACAGAACTTTGGCTGCTACAAAGGCCTGCCAGTTAAAATTCTAAGCCTCTATTTTGATTCCTTGCTCTTGTAGGAGACAACATTTCTAAAATGATTCCCAAAAGATGTCCAAATCCCAGGAACCTCTGAATATTATGGGATTTCAGTTCCGTGATTGTGTTCTGTTTCAAGACAGGGAGATTATCCAGGTCTGCCTGCCCTAATCATGTGGGCCTTTGAGGGCAGAGGGCTGTCTCTGGATAGTAGCAGAGGAGAAAGTCAGAGATTCAAAGGACGATGCACTGCGGCTGACTTTGAAGATGGAGCGGGGAGTTTGAGAAGAACATGGGGGCATCTACTTACAGGGAGCGGATTCCAGATAGCAGCGAACAAGGGAACAGGGATCTCAGTCCTACAGCCATGAGGAATTGGATTTTGGCAACAACCTGAATGGGTTTAGAAGTGGGCTCTTCCCCAGCACCTCTAGATAAGAGCCCAGTGTGGTTGATATATTGACTTCAGCCGCGTGAAAACCTAAGCAGAGAGCTCAGCTGAGCCTGCCGGACTCTGAACCATGAATTCCACAGAACCGTGAGCTAATAAATGGGTGTGTTTAAGCCACTAAGTTTGTAGTGACTTGTTACAGAGGAATAGAAAACTAATATACCTCTCATGCCCTGCCCAATGTTGACCTCCTCAGCAGCACCTTCTAGCCCTCTAGCCCTAAGGGACTCTTTTTTTTTTTTCTTTTTTTTTTTGGAGACAGAGTCTGGCTCTGGCACCCAGGCTGGAGTGCAGTGAGGCGATCTCAGCTCACTGCAACCTCTGCCTTCCGGGTTCAAGCAATTCTTGTGCCTCAGCCTCTCAAGTAGCTGGGACTACAGGCGCGCACCATCATTCCAGGCTTTTTTTTTTTTTTTGAGACAGAGTCTCACTCTGTCGCCCAGTCTGGAGTGCAGTGGCATGATCTCAGCTCACTGCAACCTCTGCCTCCCAGGTTCAAGCGATTCTCCTGCCTCAGCCTCCTGAGTAACTGGGATTACAGGCACGTGCCGCCACGCCCAGCTAATTTTTTGTATTTTTAGTAGAGATGGGGTTTCACCATGTTGGTCAGGCTGGTCTCGAACTCCTGACTTCATGATCCACCTGCCTCATCCTCCCAAAGTGCTGGGATTATAGGCGTGAGCCACCGTGCCTGGCCTTAATTTTTGTATTTTTAGTAGAGATGGGGTTTCATCATGTTGACCAGGCTGGTCCCGAACTCCTGACCTCAGGTAATCCGCTCGCCTCTGCCTTCCAAAGTGCTGGGATTACAGGTGTGAGCCACAGCCATGTACTCTTTTATTATGGCATGCTTTAGCTGGGACCCCTTTGTTTAGCCTCTCAATATTTGACATACTCCACTTACCCTATCTGATTCCAGGCTTGGCCTCCCTTGGACTCTTCTGCCCAGGGGCGATTCCTGAGCATTCCCGCAGGACCTCTGATGTATGTGTACCTCTTCCCTCCAGTTGTTATAGTATGTAGCAAACCTAGACTGATGTCCTGTGTATAATGGGTTTGTGACATTTGTTACCCATATCCCCAACACCTATCATGGTGCTCAGCATATAGTAGATGCTCAATAATATGAGTTGATGATGCTGATGACTAGAGAGGGAAGAAAATCTCCAGATCATCCACCTCAAACATTCCCAGTGTTGGCGTTTGATGTTCTCACTGTGTTGAACTATGTGCAATTTGCAGAAGCCACCGTGGTCTGCCTTGCCTCTGAGTTCCTCCATCCCTAACTTGCTTTTCTCCATCCTCACCCCCTGTATCTTCCTCCTTCTTTCAACTGGCTAAATCTTCTTATTCTTCAGGTCTCAGCTAAATATGACATTCTTTGAGAATCTTCTCTGGTCTCCCAGTTCAAGAATAGGCCCTCTTTTGTTCCCTGGCAGTACCCCATCAATACAATTGTCTTTATAATTGTACCTGTTATTCTCTACTAGACTATAAGTCTAGAATAACAGAGAGATGTTTTCTTTTTTTTTTTACTTTTGAAACTCCAGCACCTGACACAGAGTAGTTTCTCAATAAATATTTGTTGCATGGCCATGCTTTTTTTTTTTTTTTTTTTTTTTTGAGATGGAGTCTCGCTCTGTCATCCAGGCTGGAGTGCAGTGGCACGATCTTGGCTCACTGCAACCTCTGTCTCCTGGGTTCAAGTGATTCTCCTGCCTCAGCCTCCCGAGTAGCTGGGATTACAGGCATGCACCGCCACGCCTGGCTAATTTTGTATTTTAATACAGATGGGGTTTCTCCATGTTGATCAGGCTGGTCTTGAACTCCCGACCTCAGATGATCCACCTGCCTCGGCCTCCAAAGTGCTGGGATTACAGGCGTGAGCCACCGCGCCTGGCCATGGTTCTTAATTACTTGGGTATCTTGTTAAAGTGCAGATTCCTTCTTGGATCTGGGTAGCACCTGAGCGTCTGCATTTCTAAAAACGTCCAGATGATGTTGATGCTGCTGGTTCATGAGTCACACCTGGAGTAGCAAGGTAATTGGATACACACTCCCACCATTACCTCCATTACCTCACAGTGGTGAAAAGTTTGCATTTAAGAGAAGCTTAACAGGGTTTGGGGTGCAAATAATGGCCACTGGACAACAGCTCCCCCGTCATTGCTAAGGCAGCTGACTCATTTACAGAGGTGAAGCCAGTAACCTTGGCCTTATTAGTAACCGAGCTAACTGCCACAAATGAATAAATAACAACATTTGGCTGATTTGCATTTCAAAACGGTTTCCTTCCCTTGCTCACACTCTGGTGGAGGTACTAATGAACCATGAAATATCTAAAACATTGGCAGCAAGGAGGAAAAGAAGAAGCATTGACTCATGCCTGAAGAATAATGATCTTCAAAAATCAAGAGCTATTAAATGCAATGTCATGGCCGGGCGCGGTGGCTCACGCCTGTAATCCCAGCACTTTGGGAGGCCAAGGCGGGTGGATCATGAGGTCAGGAGATCGAGACCATCCTGGCTAACAAGGTGAAACCCCGTCTCTACTAAAAATACAAAAAAAAATTAGCCGGGCGCGGTGGCGGGCGCCTGTAGTCCCAGCTACTCGGGAGGCTGAGGCAGGAGAATGGCGTGAACCCGGGAAGCGGAGCTTGCAGTGAGCCGAGATTGCGCCACTGCAGTCCGCAGTCCGGCCTGGGCGACAGAGCGAGACTCCGTCTCAAAAAAAAAAAAAAAAAAAAAAAAAAAATGCAATGTCATATCCAGGGTTGGATCCTGGAACAGGGAAAAAAACATTAGAAGAAAAACCGGTGAAATCAGAATAAAGCAGGGAGTTTAGTTCCTAGTAATGTACCAGTGTGGGTTTCTGAGTTTTGACAAATGTACCATGGTAATGTAAGAATGCAGGAGAAACTGGATAAAGGGTATATGGGAACTCTCTGTGTTACCTTTGCAATTTCTCTGTAAATCTAAAATTATTTCAAAATAAAAAATTTACTGGGCTGGGCCCAGTGGCTCATGCCTGTAATCCCAGCACTTTGGAAGCCTGAGGTGGGTGGATCACTTGAGGTCAGGAGTTCAAGACCAGCCTGGCCAACATGGAGAAACCCCTTCTCTACTAAAAATACAAAAATTAGCTGGGTGTAGTGGCAGGCACCTGTAGTCCCGGCTACTCAGGAGGCTGAGGCAGGAGAATCACTTGAACCCAGGAGGCAGAGGTTGCAGTGAGCTGAGATCACGCCATTGCACTCCAGCCTGGGGGACAGAGCAAGAATCTGTCTCAAAAAAAAAGAAAAAAAAATACTAAAAAAATTAAGAGGTAGATAGCTGTATAGATTTTCTTCATCTTGGATAATAGTATTCCATAAATATAAAACAAGTTTTTATAAATATAAAACAATTGCCATTGATTTAACAATAGGTTGGAAATGTGTATTCATGGAAAAGATTCTCTATCCAAACCTAAGTAGCAATCAAGGAAGGGATCAGATTGTGGCTGGTCCCAAGAATGTACCTGGCAATGTGGCATACCAGTGGCACCAACACTCCAGAAGTGCTTTGCCATATATCATGAATTCCAAGACAGCCTGGCTGCCATTGGTTCCTGATTCCTATTTTTCTTTCTTGAGGATATCAGGAACTTCTTCCATGCTTGGAAGAAATGTCTTTGTATGTTTGTTTGTTTATGTAACAATATTATCTTAAACACTTGGTCATGGCATCACATTTTGCCTCAACTGTATTTCTCTGTATTCTTATATACTAGAGACATTAAGTCTGGTGAGACCACGGACTTGAACTTACCCATCATTGCATGTCCAGCACCTGACTCCAAACGAGGCTCATTACAGGTGCTTAATAATTATTTGTTGGATGGATGAGTAAATGAGGTAAGTCAACGTTTGAAGTAAATTCCTGCCTAAAAAGCATGCATTTTCCAATGATATTCATTATGCAATTATACCCCTTTGATGGAACTTTTTCTTCAAATCTTGTAAAAACTTACCAATAGCCCTTTTCCAGTTCCTTCCGGTGAATTCATAGAAAGTCGTGAAGACCTTATTAACTCTTGTAGAAACTATAACCTTAACTAAAACAGTGCACAGTGGGTGTGCTCTGGTCTCAGGAGGCAGCTCCCCAGGACCTGCACTGAGGCTCAGAGTCTGGGCTGGCCACAGAGGTATGGTCAGAGACTGTGTGGTCAAAGCAGAGTCTACATCGTGTTTGTGGCAGGCATTTATTGCTTTGTCTGTCCTACAGTACCTGCTTTCTTGAGGAAGCTGCTCTTACCCCACTTCAATGTGGTGGGAAAGGAACTCTTAGTTCACTCGTCTCCCTGGTAGACCAGTGACCCCTGCCAGGCCAATCACAGACTTCTCTGTGGTTTTAAAACTTGGGGCTAGAGGAGAAGGGCTTTTGCCTTTTAGAACATGGGATTGGGAGGATGTGAGTCAAGGGCAGCTGTCAGCCACCTTCCCTGCCACGTGGAGAATATCTACAGGAGAAAAGAGGGGACTCAGCCAGGACATGGAAACGGAGAGAGGAAGAAATAACTAATATTCATGTTTGAGTGCCTGGATGCAATTGTACTTTAGACTAACTCAACCCCCTGGACTTCCCAATTATGACAGCCAACATGTGCCCTTTTTCTTTTCTTTTTTTTCTTTTTTTTTTGTTTTGTTTTTTGAGACAGGGTCTGGCTCTGTCACCCAGGTTGGAGTGCAGTGGCATGATCTTGACTCACTGTAACCTCCGCCTCCTGGGTTCAAGGAATTCTCGTGCCTCAGCCTCCCTAGTAGCTGAGATTACGGGCATGCTTCACCACACCCTGCTAATTTTTTATTGTATTTTTAGTGGAGATGGGGTTTTGCAATGTTGGCCAGGCTGGTCTCGAACTGCTGGCCTCAAGTGATCTGCCCACCTCGGCCTCCCAAAGTTCTGGGATTACAGGCATGAGCCACTGTGCCTGACCTATGTGCCCTTTTTCTTAGGCTGATTTGGGTTTCTATCAGTTACCATAGAGAGTTCTGACTGCTACTATAATCCTGGAGGAAAATGTGCAGTTTCTTTCTCATCCCTAATGGGAAATAGGATACGCACTTCCACGGTTACTTCACAGTGGCAAAACGTTTGCATTGCTCATCCAGGGAACCAGCAATGTGGGCCTCTGCTTGGACTTGGTGCTGTGACAGAGATAGCCAGCTGTCCACCCAAAATTGAAGCCCTTACTACCATTGCATGTCATTGTCACTGGGGGTGGCACCTCACCACAGACTATATTCCCCATCTCCTCTTGCATTTAGGTGGGGATCCATGATTAGCTCTCACCAATGGAATATGAGTAGAAATGATGTGTATCACTTCCAAGAGGCAGTTAAAAAGTGGGGATTCCTTTGCCACTCTCTCCTTTTTGCTCCCCACCAGCTGGATAAAGAAGATTCTGAGGCCCTGGAAGATGGCTGAGCCACAGGTGGAAAAAGGCTAGGACCAGGACAACTTACATTTGACTGTTATGTAAGTGAGAAACAAACTTTCATTATGTTAAGCTGCTGAAATGTTGGGAATTTTTTTTTTCAGATTATAGCTGTTGACTTCTAATATTATTTGATAGTTGAGGCTGCTACAATTACCTACTGCTCGTGGATTCCATTACTGGACCAAGAAGCACACAAAGTAAGGGCAATTGCCCAAAGATCGGACCACTTAAGTTAGTCATGAGCCATATCTGCAAGCGAAGTCCTTCTCATTAAAGGAACAAAGATAATGTGCCGGCAACCTGACACAGGAACTTAGTTCATACCACATTAACCGCCTTTTGTTGTTTCTGCCATGCTCTAGTTAAGGCCAAAGTGGATATTATTGTGATTATCATTTTAACAGTTATTTATTTATTTGTTTATTTTTTGAGACAGGGTCTCACTCCCAGGCTGGAGTGCAGTGGCATGTTCTTGGCTCACTGCAACCTCCACCTCCTGGGCTTAAGCAGTTCTCTTGCCTCAGCCTCCCAGCAGCTGGGACTACAGGTGCATGCCACTGCACCCAGCTAATTTTTGTATTTCTTGTAGAGATTGGGTTTCACCATGTTGCCCAGGCTGGTCTCAAACTCCTGAGCTCAGGTGATCCACTCGCCTCGGCCTTCCAAAGTGCTGGGATTACAGGCATGAACCACCACGCCTGGCCTATTATCATTTTTTTAGGGATGCGTTTGTTATAGCAGCTAGCAGTACTCTGGCTAATACATTTCCAATGCCCGGAGCTGGGTTGAGTTGAAGATTTTGTAAGTAGAAGCATAAGCAAAGTTTAAACTCCATCTTGAGAGAGGCCAAGCGTCACAGCAAGAAGAGCTGAACTCTGTGGTGAAGTCCAAGGGATGATTTCAAGGATGGAAACAAAAGAGAAAGTTGAAGGGTCAGCAACCAGGTGGGACCTGAAAGAAGTGGGGAGTGGGAAAAAAGATCGGGGACAGATATAAAGTGAGAGCAGACCAAGTGGAGGGGCCTGTGGTTTGGTTTTTGTGGCTTCCAGCAGCCCGGAGCATGGGTGTGTCTTCCTGGTTTGGCGGGGCAGGGGCAGGGTGGGCAGGGAGCACAGGTAACCTGGTGGTGGTGGTGGGAGGGAATGGTACCAGGTGTCGGTCCAGGAGGATGAGTTGAATCCACAAACAAGAAAGCAGTCATGACGTCGGAACCTCCAAGGCTTGGGAACATGTTGGGATGTAGGGCAGGAAATAGGTCAAGGCAAGTGGTTCAGAACCAATGACTGAGGTATTTTGGAAGCCTCATTCTCTGTGGAGTCTTAGGAATAGGCCCGGTAGGTAAAGGAAAGGAAAGTAGAGAGCTAGGTGGGGCTGAAGCTCAGGGAGGCACCCAGGCCTCATTCAAAGGGGGTCTTGCTGCTCAGGTCCTGTCTATTGTTGCCACGTGAACCTGCAGCCCCCTTGTCTTCATATCTTCCAATTTTTCAAGAAAAGCAGGAAATCTGGATTTTTGTGTGTGAAATCTACTGATTTTTAAATGTTGGCAACTAATTCAAAATTTAAAAAACAACAACATGTAGGCCAAACAAAACACACTTGCGGGCTGAATTGGTCCATCCAAGCTGCCAGTTTTTGGCCTCCAGCTTAGAGGAAATGGGCAGAACCAAAGGCATGTAAAAAACAAAAACCAAAACCATGCAAGCCGTTCAGTTTCCTCCGACTTCCAAGCACCACGAGATACTATTGGAAAAAGAGCCTTGTGATAACTGCTAACTAAAACACAATACCTTGGGTCTTCAGAAAAGCCACAGGCCCTGGAGGTTGCCAGAGATATACCTTGTAGCTCCCCATGTCTGTTGCAGTTTCCTTAAAATTGGATCTCCAGCTTTGATGGAGTGAACTAATTTTCTTTACTCTTTCTATCAGGTGCATCAGTTTTGAGGCTTACTCTCTTTTCTGAAAGCCGTCAGCTCTATCTTGACCCCTGAGTTTCCAGTAAAAGCAATCGCTTGGGTGAAGGCAATGCAGAGAAAGAGCACTTGAACCAAATAAGAGTTTGACTTAACTAAATTTTATGATAGGAAATGCTTCCAGGCCAAAAACCTCAAAAGCGATCAAAGGTTTTCAAAGACTGGATCCAGTGAGTACAGTTTATTAACCCTGGCCTGTGTCCGGGCCAAGGTCATGCCCAGAGGATGTGGCAAATGCAGGATCTGATTTTTTTTTAATGTGGTCTTTTAGAGGGTATATATTGACATTCCTGGTTGCCCAACTTAGTATCTTAGTGTAAGGCTCTGCACATCCTAACGGTCCTGTTTGCCCGGGACTAAGATATTTCCTGGGATGTGGGACTTGGCAGTGCTAAAACTGGGACAATATTGGGCAAACTAGGACGTTGGTCATCTTACACCCTAGAGGCCTTTTCTCAGTGTTCATGCTATGAAGCTTTGAAACCTTTTTATTGTCCCTTTAAAAAATAAAACCTAGCTGGGTGCAGTGGCTCACACCTGTAGTCTCAGCACTTTGAGCAGCTGAGGCAGGAGCATCACAAGGTCAGGAGATGGAGACCATCCTGGCCAACATGGTGAAACCCCATCTCTATTAAAAATACAAAAATTAGCTGGTGTGGTGGCATGTGCCTGTAATCCCAGCTACTCAGGAGGCTGAGGCAGGAGAATTGCTTGAACCTGGGAGGTGGAGGTTGCAGTGAGCCACGGTCGTGCCACTGCACTCCAGCCTGGTGACAGAGCGAGACTCCATCTAAAAATAAAAATAAAAATAAAACCCTAGCCTGGGCAACATAAAGAGACCCCCATCTCCACAAAAAATTTAAAAATTAGCTTGGTGTGATGGTGCTTGCCTGTAGTCCCAGCCACTTGGGAGGCTGAGGTGGGAAGACCACTTGAGCCTGGGAGGTGGAGGCTGCAGTGAGCCATGATTGTGCCACTGCACTCCAGTCTAGGGGACAGAGTGAAACCCTGTCTCAAAAACCAAACAACAACAACAAAAACAAAAATCCAACAAAGCTGGTATGGCGGCATATGTCTGGAATGTCAGCTACTTGGGAGGCTGAGGCAGGAGGATCGTTTGAGCTGATGGGTTGAAGACCAGCCTGGTCAACATAAGGAGACCCTGTCTCATAAAATAAAATAAAATAAAAATTAAAACAGCAACAACAAAAAAGCAGAGCAAAACACACTTCACTCTAAACTGCAATAGTGCTGAGCTCTCCTGGCTTTCTTCCTATTTCTCCAGTTGTTCTTACTCATCTCCTTGGCTGCTTTCTTAGCCTCCTCCTACCTTTCATCTCTGAA